>NT_187631.1:0-101331 GCF_000001405.40 Homo sapiens | reverse complement strand
CATCCGACAGCAGCCGAACCAGATCCCCCTCAGCGTCCCGGTAATTCAGAGCTATGTCCTCTCTCTGGAACTCCCGCCTGCATGGGAAAAGTCAGGGATAATCAAAGGGCCTAAGCGTAAGGTAGGGGTAGGGAGAGGGGGTGAAAAGGGTTTTATGTCCTGAAGCCAGGAGTAAGAAAAAGTCAGAGCCTGATACAAGCCCGTGTCATCCAAGTAATCTAACCTCCCATTGTACAGATGGGGATATCGAGGCCTAAAAGGGAGAAGAGGCTGGGTGCGGTGGCTCACGCCTATAATTCCAGCATTTTGGGAGGCCGAGGCAGGCAGATTACCTGAGGTTAGGAGTTCAAGACCAGCCTGGCCAACATGGTGAAACCCTGTCTCTACTAAAAATACAAAAATTAGCTGGGCGAGGTAGTATGCACCTGTGATCCCAGCCACTCAGGAGGCTGAGGCAGGAGAATCACTTGAACACAGTAGGCAGAGGTTGCAGTGAGCTGAGATTGCACCACTGCACTCCAGCCTGGGCAACAGAGTGAGACTCCATCTCAAAAAAAAAAAAGGAGACGGAGAAGAGACTTTCACGGAAATTAGTGGCACAGCCTGAAATGTCTCGTGTATAAATGTGCTAAAGGATTAAGAGTTGTGAAGAAGAGTGGGTTTGACTGGGCACTCTGGGGCTGTATAAAGCCTCAGAGAGACACCTGTGTGAGGCTATTGAGGAGAACCTTGTAAGGACAGGAACTGTCTGGCCTGGGTGCGGGAAGATGCGCATCCTTCTACTTGGCTGGTGTACGTAGAAATTGATCTGAGCTTTCTACCAGTAATTTCACAGTGTGGGCCAGAAGCCTATGAGACTTGCAAATGCTTTAATCCCCAAATCCACTTCTTGAAAATCATTCAAAGGAAATGATCAGATAAGTCATCAAATAGGTTAACTAAGATGGTCTGTACAATGTTGTTTAGAGTAGTAAAAAAGCAGAAGAAATCCTAAGAGGCCAGCAAAAGCGCATGGCCATGTTAATGATGTAGCCACTGAAAGGTTTTGTGCAGCCAAAGTGACTTTTGTGTGTGCATGTGTGTGTGGGGTGTAAGTACTGAAGAAATCTGAGTGTACGTCACATAACGAGGGGAGTAAAAATATGAGGTGATTTCACTTCTTTGTATCTTTCTGACATGGTTACTGACATTTCTTTTTTAATATATAATGAGTTGGTACAAGTTTTATAGTCAGAAATGTAGCAATGCGGTTACCATTCTGTAAAATAACTGTCCAGCAATGTCCTGGACCTGGGGGGGTAGTGAGTCCCTGAGAGTGGATGGTTCAAGTCCAAGGCTTTTAGCCAGAGAGACTTTAGCTCCAGCTGCAGATCCGGATCTAAACCCACAACCTGCGTGAGCTCAACCAGTTCCCCTAACCTCTCTGCAGCTTCCCCGCTCATCTCTAAAGTGGGGAGATGCTGCCTAACCTGCAGGGCTGGGCTGCGGATAAAAAGAGAAGACAAAGTACACGCAAAACCCCAGCACCTTAATACTAGTGCTTAACATTTCTCCCTGCGTTCTCTTCTCCAGAGTATCTAACTCCCCAGCCCCATTCCCAGCCCCTCACCTTGTGAGCTCCAGCAGGTCTTTCAATAGGGGAGTGCTGCTGAGATCTTCCTCCACCGCGATGTCCCTAAGGGGGTGACAGGCTGGAGTAAGGAGGCATCAGGCTGGAAGTGGGGTGTGGGGTGGGGGAAAGGGGAATGAGGCTGGCCAGGCCACCCTGGACGTTGATGGCTTGTTACAGCATTGTGGCTCATCTGGGAGCCACTGGGGGCTTTGGAGTGGGAGAGGGACCCATGAGAAGGTGATGTGAGGGGCGGTGGTCGTAGGGATGGCAGGAAGGCTGGACAGGCCCCTCCCTCCCAGGCCACAGACTTGATGGTGCTGATGGTGTCTTCGTAGTAGTAGCAACGCAGCCAGTTGGTGGGGTCGTCCTCCTCAGGGAAGTCTTTGAGGATCTTCACGAAGGAGAGAGGGAAGATGCCCGTGGCTCCCCGGACAGTGCCCTGCAGAGGAAGAGAAGGGATGCCATGCTGGTGAGAGGAGAGGCAGCAGAGCCACGCCTCAGAGCCCTCAGCCCCGTTCTAGTGATGGGGAAAGGCAGATGAGGTCCGGGTCTTCTTCTGTAGAGGGAGGAGGGAAAGCGAGGAAGTTCGCTGAGCTGGTCACTTCTAAGAAGGCTTATATTTGGGTTTTACAATATGCCAGAATCTGGATTTATATAGAAAGCTGCTTTTATCTCACTCATTCACTTATTCATTCAACAAAGTCTTCTTGAGAACCAGCCACGTGACAGGCTCTGGGCTCTCAAAATAGATAAAAGTCCTTGGGCCGGGCGCAGTAGCTCACACCTGTAATCCTAGCACTTTGGGAGGCCGAAGCTGGTGAATCACCTGAGATCAGTAGTTCGAGACCAGCCTGGCCAACTTGGTGAAACCCTGTCTCTACTAAACATATACAAATTAGCCAAGCGTGTTGGTGCGGGCCTGTAATCCCAGCTACTCGGGAGGCGGAAGCAGGAGAATCACTTGAACCTGGCAGGTGGAGGTTGCAGTGAGCCGAGATCACGCCATTGCACTCCAGCCTGGGCAACCAGAGTGAAACTCTGTCTCAAAGAAAAAATAATAATAAAAAAATAATAATAAGTCCTTGCCCCCACGGAGTTTCCAGTATGATGGGGAATGACAGGCTGTGCGCGCTGTGAACAATGACCTATCCAGTGAGTCAGATGGCAGCAGGTGTTACAGAGGAAAATAGAACAGGGGAGGAAGAGGATGAGGGGTGAGGAAGGGCCTGCTGCTGATCCCGCTCACTCACTCATTCATTCATCAGATACAACTGTGCCTCTACTCTAGACCAAGTAGCCAGAAATCAGACCCAGACCCGGCCATGGCCTGGGCTTTGGGCACGTGTTCTGTTCATCTTCACAACGACCCTATGGAACATGGATTATTTACATGCCATTTTACAAACATATTAACCAAGGCTCAAAGTGGTCCCCTCCCTGCCCCTCTGCCCCCACCTTCAACCTGAGGCCAGAAGTTAGCCAGCATACTGATAAGTAGGACTTTCCGGAAAACAGGAAGGCAATACATGTTTTCTATTTCTGGAAAGTGGCCCAGAGATACTCCTCAGGCCTCTGTAAGAGCCCTGAGTTCCTGAGATGGAGATCTATGATTAGGGTAAAATGGAAACTGCTAAACTGGCTAAACCAGTGGTCACTACTAGCTCCTCTCCAGGGCCTGGACGCTAGGGACCCAACCCAACTCTTAAAGGTCCTGGGACCCCTGGGGGCTGACCCTGCCTCTGGGCCTGTCCCAGAACCTCCTTCAACACTCCCCACAGGAGCACTAAGTCTGAAGACAGGACCTAATACAAAAGGCTGGTCCCAGGCCAAGGCCCAACACAGCCACTTCCCACCTCCACTCACTGAGTCAGAACACAGCCCTTCTGTGGGCCACACAGGGACAAAGCAGTGACTGGGAAAGTCCCTGGCTTTGAAGTTTCATTTAAGTCTCCTAATGACCCTAGTACCTGGCCAGGCGCCGCACATCCAGGCTCTGGGGCGAGCCCTGACCATCTACCACCTCCTTTACCCTTTCCAGGAAGCCGATGAAGAAACATTTACAGAAAAGGAAACCGCAAGTTTGAGCAAGTTTCCAAAGGTCCACAAAGCTAGTGAAAAACAGAGCTAGGAAATGGCCCAAACAGGCTGACTCTGAGTTCACACTCTTCATCAGCAGCTTTTACTGCTGCGGGCAAGGTATGTACTGTTGTCCCATATTACACAAGTGTGCGATTTCACCCCTCAGGAGCAAATATCTGGAGAGCCATGTGATTGGTGCAATTTAGCAGTGCTGCTGGCATCTAGTGGAGAGGCCAGGGATATTGCTGAACAGCCTGCAATGCTCAGGACAACCCCACAAGGGACCATCTGGCCCCAATGTCAATAGTGCCCCTGCTGAGACACCCATTACAGACCAAGAAACTAAACTCAGTAGGTTAACTTACTTGCCCTAAGCAACCCATTTTTCAGGGTCAGAACCAAAGCATGAGCTCCAAGAATGTTCTGCTGCCACCGAACACCTGCCTCCCCAAAGGCTTTGTTCCCGCAGGCTCCCCAACCTGCCTGGATCTCCAGGACTATCCTCAGATAGCATCTCTTCCCTGAGGCCTTCTGAGACCATCCTCAGTCTCTGAAGCATACAATGCCTGAAGCAACCTCACCTCCAGCCTCACCTCTAATCTCAGCCTAACCTTACCTGCATTCTCACCTCCATCCTCACCTCCAACCTCACCTCCATCCTTATTCCCAACCTCATCTCCAACCTCATCTCTAACCTCACTTCCAACCTCACCTTCATCCTCAACTCCAAACTCACCGCCATCCTCACCTCCACCCTTACCTCCACCCTCACCTCCAATCTCACCTCCAATCTTACCTCCATCCTCACCTCCAGTCTCACCTCCACCCTCACCTCCAATCTCACCTCCATCCTCACCTCCAACCTTACTGCCAGTCTCACCTCCATCCTCACGTCCACCCTTACCTCCATCTTCACCTTCACCCTCATCTCCACCCTCAATCTCCATCCTCACCTTCACCCTCATCTCCACCCTCACCTCCATCCTCACCTCCAATCTCATCTCCAATCTCACCTCCAACCTCACCTCCAATCTCACCTCCAACCTTACCTCCAATCTCACCTCCAATCTCACCTTCATCCTCACCTCCAATCTCACCTCCATCCTCACCTCCACTCTTACCTCCATCCTCACCTCCAATCTCACCTCCACCCTCACCTTCATCCTCACCTCCAATCGCACTTCCACCCTCACCTCTATCTTCACTTTTAATTTCCCTCCAACCTCACCTCCAATCTCACCTCCATCCTCACTTCTGAACTCACCTCCAGCCAGTCTTTGTTGATCCGACTGAGGAGGAAGATCACATCTCCAGCTTTGAAATTCAGCTCCAGTTTGCTGTTTCCAGTGAAGTCAAATAGAGCCTGAGGAGAAGCGTGCAGTAAGGAGGGAAGGAGAGAACACTCACTGAGTTCCTATAGAAGTGCCTTACATACTTTAGTCTCCCATTTTACAGATGTAGAAACTGAGGCTTGAGGAGAATAAGCGACTTCTCTGAGGCCACCCCATTTTTTAGTGGAGGAGCTGGGAATTGAACCCAGGTCTCCCTGACTCCAGGATGGGTGCTCCTTCCAAACCTGGTGGGGGTGAGCACACAGGGAAGGGTTCGAACTCTCTGGGCTGAGCACCCACCCTGGTCCCCAGGCTTCATCGCGGGCTGGGCCTTGTCTGAGTCATCTCTGCAGCTTCCATGCCTAAGGCAGGGCTGACTCAGAGGAGGCCCAGGTAAACTGTCCGGATGAGCGTAGGGATGGAAGCATTCTCCTCTGGCTCTGCACGCTGGTCACATTCCCTCCCCTTAGCTGGGCTCGGGGGACCCCCAGTGGCAGAGGCTGAGGCTGTAACCCCTTCCTTCCTCCTGGTGCCCAGCACTGTCCCAGGCACACAGCAGCACCCAGCAGGAGAGGCCCAGTGGCTGGCAGGTGGGCCAAGGCAGATGCCCACAGTGTGAGAGCCTGGCCAGCGCGGGGGCGGGGGTTACCTCTGCTCTCGGAGCTGCCATGCGGTCAACGCTGTTGCCCTGTGGGGACACGCTCTTGCTGTGGAGAGAGAAGAGGGGCTTGTTAGCCCTGTGATTCTCTCAGGGCCCAGCTTCCTGCTCCTGTGTCCAGAGGAGCCCCTTGCAAGGAGCAGGGAAGGCAGAGGAGACAGAAGATGCTGAAATGTGGCTGCAATTGCTCCTCTGGGCGGGCACACTTGTCCCCAAATCCTCACAACCTCTTTGGAGGTGGGATTGTTCTCCCTTCTTTATGGACCAGGAAGCCAGGCTCAGAAAGCAGGTGGGGAAGGGGATACACGCTCATTCAGTGCCTTTCACTTGCCAAAGTGTTCAGATGTGTTTGTTCCTCTGCTCCCTACAACCAAGCTCTGATGTAAATGTGACTGTTTCTAATTTTTCAGCTGAGGGAAACTGAAGGTTGGAGAGGTGAAGTGCCTTGCTCTGGGGCCTGCGGCTGCCACATGGCACAGCTGGAATTAAGACACACCTGCCTGTGTGCACAGGGGAGATGCCAGGCATGGAGAGGACCCTTGGAGACATTGGTGGGAGGAAGCAGAGGGAGGAGCTGGTGGGGAGCTCAGGAGCTCCGTCCTGCTTTTCCCAGAATTCTTAGTAGCAGCAACCTGGGCTTTGGAAGCCCAGCAGTCTACGAGTGGCTTGAATTTTTGGTGGGAAGGATGGGCTTTTTGGAATAAGGGAGGAACAGTGTGCTCTGGAGGCCAGCATGATACAACTAGAGCCATAGCTGGCCCCACGGAGCTCCAACACACCAGGGAGAAGGCATTCCCAGAGATGCTCAGAGAATGTTTGTGGATGGGGCAGCTTTTCCCTCCTCTCTGCCCCCAATTCTTTCCAGGCACCCAGAGCTTCTGGGCTATCCCCAGTAGTTGCTGTGGCACCAAACTCTCTGGAGTCAATATCCCAGTCCTCGTCTTCCAATCCTTATTATCACATTGAAAGGCACACACCCTCTGTCCCTCCAAGCCTGAACATGACTTTCTAAACCCATCTAATAAATCAAATCATCCTGGAGTGTCCAGGGATATGGCTGATCTGTATTTTCCTTCTCTCCTTTCAGGGAAAAGAGATGCTTTTCCAGCAGGGACCCAGGGCTCTGGCCATGTGGAAGGCCAGGGGCTGGTCACTTACACTTTCCGGGTGCGCGGGCGGAGCCGGCGGAGTGCCTGGGGCACCTGCTCTGAGTCATAGGGCGACTGGTAAAAGAAGATCCGGACGTCCTCATCCATCAGCACCCAGACCGGCAGGCTGAGCAGGCTCTGTGTGGGTGAGACAGCAGAACCGGTGGGGTAGTCAGCAGAAAGATCTGGACACCCCAGCCTAGATGTCCCATCCCCGAGCCCTGACATCAGCCCTCCTCTCTTTACTAATGCATGATGCCTGATAACAGAAACGCGTTGTTTAAAAGAATAAGAAAACTCAGCATGCTGAAGGTAACACTTCACAAGCTCTGCTCCTGGGTCCAAGGTCAGGAGAGGGACCAGGGGCTTGAGAAGAGTCCATTTGGAAAAGACTTAAAGTTCTCCAGAAACAGCAGTAATGGTGATGACAACTAACATGACCCGGCGGTGACTTTACCAGGTGGGTATCACATGTGTGCCCTTGCTCCATCTCATGACATCCCTTGAGTTAGGATCAGAGAGGTGAAGGGATATGCTCAAGGCCACAAAGCCTAGCAAGGGACAGAGCTGGGGCACCCAGAGCCATCTGCCACTAAAGGCTACCCAAAGCTTAAGGTGAGACAACAGTTGGCGGGGGTGGGGGGCTCCCAAAATAACCCAAATTAACAACAGTTGGTGGCATTATAGCCTACAAAATGCTTCCTGATACTTTATCTCATATCATAGTTGAGGAAACTGATGCTTGGAGAGGGAAAGTACCTGGCCCAGAGGAGCCGAGCTAAGTGACAGGGCCCGGACTTGAGCCCTAGTGTCCTTGTTTCATCCAAGCTGGTTACACCCACCACGATGCAAAGACTTTGAAGCTGTGAGGACGCGAGCACCCAGAGCCTGGCGGGGTCATCTCACCAAACTCCAAGCGCACAGGTCTGGGGACACTGAGGGTTGGCTTTGGGTGCTGAGGCTCCAGAGGCACCCAGAGCCCTGCAGAGGATCCCATGGGGGCAGCAGGATGAGGTGGGGTCGGGGAACTTTGTCCGAGAGGAACTGGGGATGCAGAGCCCGGAAAAGGCTGTCATATGGGGACAGCCTGGGAGGTGTTTAAGGAGCCAGGGGCTCCTGGGATCGAATCCCAGCTCTGCCTGTCACCAGCTGGGTGGCTTTGGGCAAACCTGGCTCCAGATGGTCATTAATAAAATGGGGACAATAATAGCCTCTCCCTCGTGGGATTGTGTGAGAATTAAATGAGTAAATACATGCAGAATCCTTAGAACAACACCAGGCATATACCAGGTGCCCATCAAAGTTAGATGTCATCATTGTTACTGTGATTTTCATTACAACGAGGCACAGTGGGTAAGAGCTCAAACCCTGGAGTCACAGAGATGTGAATTCAAATCTCATCCCACCTACCTAACTGCTCTGTCACACTTAACTCACAAGTTATTGAGGGGATTAAATAAGATTATTCATTTATCAATAAACGTGTATCAAGAGTCTCCTGGTTGCCAGTCAAAGGTCTTCACGCAGTTCCAGGCAGTTGTCATTATCATGTGATTCACATTCTTCATGAGGGCGGGGTGAGACCAGTGGGTAGGACTTACAGAGAGTTGGGCTTTTCTCATAGCTGCCCAACAATGGGACAGGCAGCCTGGGTCAGGGCGGAGTGGTAGTGAGCTCCCCATCTCTGAGGGTATGCAAGCACAGGATGGGGTGGCCATGGCAGAGATTCCTGCCCTGAATGATCTCTGGCTTCCAGGAACCCAATTGGACACAAAGAGGCAGAGATGGATCCTCTGGGCTGCTGGTTGCTAAGACCAGGTGTGGAATGAGGAGCCCCAGTTCCCCAGCCTCGCCTCCTGCCTTCTCTTCCTCCTTCCCTCCCTCCCTCCCTTCACAGCCCACTCCCCTATTCTAGCCCAGGGGGAGAAGGGTGGAGCCTCAGCCACCCTGAAGGAGCAGCTGGAGCCCACCCAGCTCCCCTCCCTCCCTCTTCCCTGCTCAGAGCCCAGGATTCCTGCAGCTACCTGCTCTCTCCTCCTTCCTCCCACCTCCTCTGCCCTCCATCTGCTCCTTCCCTCCATCAGGAGTCAAGATCTCTCACATTCTGGAAGCAGGTTCACAGTTTACAAAGCACTTTCTCATCCTGTTCTCGACAGATCCCAACTTCACTCCTGTGATACTAGAGGGCACTGCCCCATTTCACAAGTGTGAAAACCAAGGCCTAGAGAGGATGGGCAACTCACCCCAAATCACCCAGCCAGTCAGTGTCAGAGTCAAGACTAAAGGATCCTAGCCCAGCGCTCTCCAGCTGTGAGGATGCCGCTGGGCTGGGAGGAGGGCTTCGCTTGCCAGCTTCCTGAGGTCACTATCAGGTCTCTAGCGACGGTGCACTCACTGCCACCTCATGAGGAACACTGCCCCTTTCCTGGATGGCTGTGGCTGGTGGAAGTCCTTTCCTGACCACCTTGGCCTCTGCCTTTAAGATGCTCCTTCCTCTACGCTCCCATCTCATAGAGATGCAGAGTTTGCAAGTCGGAGAATACACAAGGGCCCCCAGCCAAGACCCATGAGTGTAGCTAAAATCCAGCCCATGTTCACGTAAGGGAGTGAGTTGTCCCAGAGGAGGCCTACTCTAGTTTGCACAAAGATGCTATATGAGCAACCTGCGGCCTGCTTGGCCACACCCCCATGATGGAGGCACACATATGTCTCCGTGTGATCTTATGATCCACCTGTTGGCATTCCCATGGGACAGTGGGTACCTTGGGGGCAGACACTGGATGGAATTCACCTTTGTATTTTAACTCCTGGCATAGACATTCACCTGTGGGGCTTGGAGCATTAAATGAAGACTTGTCAATTCCTAGTGTGGCTCTTTTACCTTCTCCATTGCTCCTGCTCCTATCTCTGGAACCCTAAGGACGCATCCTGTTTTACTCCCCAGACCAGGCCTTTAGGGATTGAAGATGGGGCCATCAGAGCCAGAGAGCCAGCCCCAGTTCCCAAAGCCATACCCAGGGATGGTACGTGGGCTCCCCCACCAATACTGCATGCCCTTCCACGTGCCAAGGTGGCAAGGCCCACTGGTACCTTCATGTAGGCGTTGAGGGCAGGTATCCGCATCTCGGCGATCTCCTGTTTCACACCCACGTAGACTTTGGCTGAGAAGAGACAAAGAGCTGTCCTAGGAGCCTGGCCCAACATGGCCCCGGGGCTCAGGGCTGCCCCTACAGGCCAGGAACCCTGGCCAGAGCCCCTTCCCGATGGCTCAGCATTCTTCCCTGTTATCTTTTCACAGCACTGAAGTGGCCACTCTGGCACCATCCAACTTTCATCCTCTCAGTTGTGCTATCACCAGCTGATATTTTTCTTGTCTTACTTTTTTATTTACTGCCTGTTCATCCAAGCGCGCACACACACACACACACACACACACACACACACACACACGACTCTTAGTTCTAAGAGAGCAGGATTTTCACCTGCTTGGCTCACAGCTGTACCCCCATCACCCAGGACAGTGGCAACACCGGCTGCACATTCAAGCTACCCAAGGAGCTTGTAAATATCTCACTGTGTAGCACTTGCCCCAGAGCAATTAAATCAGAATCTCCGGGGGCAGGACTCAGGAACCAGGATTCTTTCCATCTCTCAAGGCACATCCACATACCACCAAAGTTAAGAACCATGGGTCTAGAATCATGCCCAGATGAATGAGCATTTGTTAAGTGGATGAATGAACAATTCCTCAAGCTCAAGGCAGATGTTCTGGAGGAAAAGGAAATATGACGGGCTACCAAGAGACAAATGTCCCCTCCAGGTGCCTTCATGTGAGCGCACTGGTGGAACCATTCACCAAGAGAACCCCTACGAGGAAGCAAGTCTGAAACCTGCCTGGCTCCTGGTGTCCAGGAGATGGACAGAGGTGATGGCGGCGGCGGTAGGAGGGTCTGGGCTAGAGCTAGACATTGGGAGTTAGGAGCAAAAACGTGACAATTAAGTCCCAGACATGGGTCAGTTTGCCAGGGTGAGTGTTTGGAATGAGAAGACAAGGCAGGGGAGAGAGGATGTCTGCTCAGAGGATCCCCACCTTCCAAGGAGCAGCAGAGAAGGTTGATTCTGTAACAGAGAAGCTGAAGGAGTCTCTAGTAAGCTAGGAAGGGGATTGGGAGACACTGGTGCCTCAGGAGGTTGGAGAAAGCTTAACAGAGGAAGGAGTGGGGGTGTGAAGATGAGGCTTGGCACTGGCCATGGAAGCCAGAATTGATGGGTCATGGCCCACCTCACCGAGAGGAATTTCAGTGGAGTAGTCAGAGCTAAACCAAGCTGAGGAGTTAAGGAGAGGATGGCCATGCCAAGGTGAGACAGTGCGTGAATTTGATGCCAAAGGAAGAAGAAAGAGAACTTTGGGGGCCCTGGGGGCACGGAGGCTCAGGGAGGCTTGTAAGAATGCTGTTTCATGGCTCAGGATTGTTTAAAGACAGAAGAGGGTTGAGGCTGTGGAGACGCTTAGCAGAGGGAGTTGGTATATCAAGAGGAAGATGAATATACAAGGAAAAGGAGGGGTAGATTGTCAGGAGAGAGCCCCAAAAGAGAGAGGAGGGAAAATGATGGAGCCTGAGAGGGGAGGCTGGCTTAGAGTAGGCAAGACTCCTAGGGGGAGCTTCAAGTTCCTTGGTGGGGCTGGATGAGAAGGAGCGGGGTCATATGCTGAGACAGAGAGAGACAGAAACAGAGACAGAAAAAACAAACTGGAGATGGGGTTGGAGCTTGGGGAAGGGTCCCTGAGGCTTGGGGAAGGGAGACAATTGTCCCTGTCTCTAACTTGCAGGGCACGAAGGGCGCCGCTGAGACCACCCCCGTGTAACCCATTCGTGATGGGGTTTCCTCCTGCAGGGCAGGGGCTGAGCAGCTAAGGGCTTGGCGCTGTCCAAGGTGCGCGTTAGGATCCAGCTGGGGAGGAAGGACCAGGAGGCCAGGGGGCGGGGAGACTGTTTGCAAGCAGAGGCTTGAGGCCACCCAGCTTCCTGGCGGGACAGGAGAAGAAGGAGAGCCACAGGGACGCTGGAAGCCAAGACCATGAAGTCAGAGGGCTGGTCTCGTGGGAGGAAGCTGAGGGTGGGCAGGGAGGTGAGTCAGTGTGTTTAGGGACCAGACTGGGGGATTCCTGTCTCTGAGGAAGGGAGGCCAGGTGCTGAAGTGCTCCAGACTGTGGCCTCCTGGTAGTGGACAGCAGGAGCGAGTGGCCACGATGGTCATCAGAGCTCCGGGGCTGTGAGGCTAGAGTGCTTGGGGTGGAAGCCATGGCGTGAGGCAGGGGGAGCCATGCAGGGAGGGCTTGGCAGCCTGTAACTGCCGGGAGTGGGGGCTATAAACTACATGAACAGTTTTCACTGGGGTTGAGATCAAATCACAGAACAGTGTCAGGGGCCCTGGAAGGAAGGAGAGTCAGCAGCTCTGCAGCAGCAGGACGGGAGTGGCCGCCTACCTGGGAGTGTGGGCAGGGTACAGGCCAGGGCACTGCTCTTGCTGTCTGGCCCGAAGCGCTCCTCCAGCTTGCTCTGCAAAGCATGGAACTGGCGGTAGCGGCGGTAGATGAGGTACTTGGATCCTCCTTTTGTCTTCACCTCGATGACGAAAACCTAAGGAGGACAGAGGTTGTGGGGAGGGCTCAGGGGCCAGGAGCACAAGCCAAAAAGAGGTGGAAGGGAAAAGGGGAGGAGGAGGAGGAGGAAGATGATGAGGATAAGGATGCAGAAGGGTCTCTGGAGAAGGAGACCCCTGTCAAGTCAAAAGGCTGGCGCCCCAGAAGCAGACGAGCTTTGCGAAAAAAAAAGAAAAGAAAAGAAAAAAAAAACTGGAAAAAGAGAGGAAGTGAGACCTAGTGTTAGAGGCAAGAGCCCTTGGAAATAGGCCAAACACACATTCAGGCCCAAGAAATGAGGAGCCATGCCTTGGAGGTCATGGTGCAGAGTGAACCTGCCCCTGGCTGTGCTGTGGGCGCAGGATGCCCCCTCCATCTGTGTCTGAATATGACAGGGGTGTTGTGGGGGCAACACTAAAGTCCCTCACCCCCGACTCTCCAGGTGGAGGTTCTGAGGTCAAAGGACGCGATCAGGATTTCTCAATCTTAGTATTATGCTGGGGCCGGACAGTTCTTTACTGGGGACAGGGCTGTCATGTGCACAGTGGGGTGTTTAGCAGCACCCTGGATTCTACCCACTAGATGTGGAGTAGACCTGCCCCAAGATGCAATAATCAGAATCTCCCAGGGTAATGTCAAATGGGCAAAATCGGTCCTGTTGAGAACCACTGAGATAGAAGTTAAGAGATCAGAGAATTGGAGGTTCAGAGGTCAGAGGGCAAGGTTCAGAGGTCAGCTGGGTGGAAGTTCAGAGGTTGTTGGGTGAAGGACTAGGAGTCTGTCTTACAAAGTGGCTGGTGAAGCCTCTCTTCTCCTCGATGTCAGCAATGTTGGCCGAGATGGCAACATCATCCGGAAGCTGTTCAAAGTCACTGTGCGAAGGAGGGGAAAAGAGATCCTGCTTATCACCCTGATGTGTTTTGTGGGCCCACCGGGTATGAGGTAGAGTGCAAAGCAAACTAATGTTGTGAAGCCAACATTCGTCTCTCAGCACCCCTTCCCAGGCCAGGTCCAGCCACTGACCCTGGGAATACGGAGATAACAAGACACAGCCCAGGCCTTGAGTGCAGGAATGGGAAGCTGGCGGCCATACTGAGTGCAGGAATGGGAAGCTGGTGGCCATATTGAGTGTAGGAATGGGAAGCTGGTGACCATATAGCAATAGCCAAATTATAGTCTAACACATTGCTGTCAATTGCACAGATTCACCTGGGAATAAGGCATCAAACATCTCCATACCAGGCCCTGTCCTAGGCCCTGGGTCACAGATGTAAACAAAGTCAACATGTGCCCTGGATGGGGTGCTATGTGACCCCCATAGAGAGACTGCCTAATTGTGCCCAGGTTGGGGAAATCCTCAAAAAGGAGATGACATGTGAGCAGGTCTAGAGGGTAGAATAGGCATCTGCCAGGTAGAAATTGGGGAGGGTCTTCCAGGCAGTGGGAGCAGCATGACCTGCGGAGTGGGCCCGGATCTGTATGGCTGGGGCCAGTGTGATCTGAGACTGAGTGCGCAGGTGAGGCCAGTCTGAGGGTCCCAAGGGCCAAGTAGGGAACTTATGTAGGCAATGGGGAGTCATGTAGGGCTTCAGAAGAAAGTAAAACATACTTTGGAAGAAAGTAAAATGGTGGCTCATGCCTGTAATCCCAGAACTTTGGGAGGCTGAGGCAGGCAATATAAAAAAATGACACCCATCATCCCAGCTACTTGGGAGGCTAAGGCAGGAGAATCGCTTGAACCCAGGAGGCGGAGGTTGCAGTGAGCCAAGATCATGCCACTGCACTCTAGCCTGGGGGACAGAGCCAGACTCCATCTCAAAAAAAAAAAAAGAAAGAAAGAAAGAAAGAAAGTAAAACATAAATACAATTTTGGCTTTAGGGGCCAGCTCAGGCAGGTGTGTGGGGAGGAAAGAATGGGTGGAGACTTAGGGGAGAGAGCACCACTGGGAGGTCCTGAAGTGGTCTGATTAAGAGATTGTGTGCATGTGAGCCAGACAGCAGGGACAGGAGGAGATAGACACAAGGGCCACCAACCTTGGTGGACACTGTGAGCATTTACTGTATCCTCTGCTTCTTCCTGGCTAACCAAGCACTGGTTTTGTTCAGAGTGGCCATGTGCCTAGCCCCAAGGTGATAGATCATGACGGGTCTGAGCCAAACATCACCATCCAGCTCCTGTTTTCCTGCCTCCCTTGCAGCTAGGAGCAACCATGTGACCAGTTCTGGCCAATGAGACCTAAGAGGAAGCCTGGTGTAGGAGCCTCCCCAGAGTGCTTGCTTTCCTGATCCCAAGGGATGGACAAGCTCAGCATGGTCTCCCCCTTTGAAAGCAGTCTTGAAGCAAGTGTGACATCCAGACCTACAGCAGCTATGTTGTCTCCATGAGGCAAGACACGAGAAAGGCCAAAGGAATCTCTGGGGTGCTAGTCCTGTTGTCACTGGCCTACAGAACCAACTATGGCTTACCTCTGGACTTTTTTTTTTTTTTTTTTTTTGAGACAGAGTCTTGCTGTGTCCCCCAGGCTGGAGTGCAGTGGTGCGAGCTCAGCTCACTGCAACCTCCGCCTCCCAGGTTCAAGTGATTCTCCTGCCTCAGTCTCCCACGTAGCTTGGATTACAGGCACAAGCCACCACACCCAGATGATTTTTGTATTTTTAGTAGAGACAGGGTTGCACCATGTTGGCCAGGCTGGTCTCAAACTCCTGACCTCAAGTGATCCACCTACCTCAGCCTCCCAAAGTGGACTTCTTGTTAGGTGACCAAATAATCCCCTGTTTGTTTAAGCCATGGTCAGTTCCTCCATTCCCTGCAGCCTAATGCATTTCCAACAGACACATTACCAATTTCTTGTTGTTCCTAAGTCATGATCAGGAGAGGTTGGGCACTGTTTGGATGTGGAGGTGAAAGAAAAGGCACTGTCAAGAGTGACACCCACACTTCTGGCCAGGATGGGGACACGGGGCAGAGTTGATGGACTCAGTTTGGGGCATGCTAATTTGAGAGGCCTGCTTTATAGCTCAGGATCTCAGCATGGGGGTCTCGAGGTCTCGACTAAAAGTGGTGAGGCAGGAATAACCTTCTGCCTGTGGCTTGTGGCTAAGACCCCCGCTCTTGACTCAGTGAAGACCTATCAGGGAACAGAGGAGGGGTCTGAGAGGGACAGATAGGGGAAGAAGAAACAGACTTCCAAGGAGCAGGAGAAGGCACAGCCAGGAGTCTCTGAGTGGTCACTGAGTCCAGCCACTTGGAGACAGACAAGGAAACAAGAAGCAACTATGATTCTTCTGGTGCGGCAATTGGGAAACAGAGGAAACAGTGGCGGGGGTGGGGGGGCGGCGGTGGTTGGGGGATTGCAAGGGCTGCCAAGTCCAAGGCCCCAGAGCTGGCTGGGACCTCCGGAGTCTACACACAGTAGTCCCAGTCCACGCCAGACCCACATGACCTAGAATCTGAGGCTGCATCAGAATTCAGGGGGCTGCCACATGGAGGTGACTCAGGATAGCAGTGGGCAGGTAGTGGAAATCCCCCCTCCCAGCCCCACTCACTTTCCACACATGCCCCTGTGGTGATACCCTTGGGAGAAGCTTCCTCCTCCACTTTCTCCCCTGAGGCTGTGCTTGTCCTAGGTAATTTCCTCTGCAGTACGATCAGGTGGGAAGGTGGGGGTGGGGGGCACACAGGAAGGAACCTAAAGGGTAGAAACGGCCCTGAGCAGGGCGGCAGGCAGGTTGGGTAATAAGAATGGCAGCTGCCTGTTTCCTGAGGGTGCCAGGTGCTCTTCTAAGACAGTGTCACCTTTGTACAGATCGGGAGACTGAGGCACAGTAAAATTAGCCCGAGTAAGTCGGGAAGCTGGGATTTGAGCCCAAGCAGTAGCAGTCTGGCTCCAGAAATTTGTCACCAAACACTGCCATACTGCCCTGCACTCTGAGCCTCCCGGCAACTTGCTGTGTGAACTTAAAAAATTCCCAGCCCTTCTCAGCCTGTGTCTCCGTCTAAAATAATTATAATTTTAGCGAACCTGTATGTGGCACTGCCTGTGGGCCAGACACTGTTCTAAGCCCATTAAGACATATGGGCTTCTCAGATCTCACAGCTCCAAGGAGAAGGGAAGGGGACACTGGACACTAAACAAATAATGACATAATTCAAATGGGCATAGTGCTGGGAAGGAAAAGCACGTGGCATTTTGAACTAGAACAGGAGCCTGGCCATTATTATATTCCCTCAAATAATCAATCATGCAGCAGACAGGAGAGATTGGGAGCAGGAGCTTGTACTGTGGAGGCTCATGCGCCGTCAGAGGGCATCCTTGGGCTGAGGGTGGTCAAGGAGGGCTTCCCAGAAGCAGCAGCACCAGTGATCAGCCGGGAAGAGCAAAGAGGAGTTGGTTGCAGGACGGCAGAAAAGGCATTTCAGGCAGGGGGAGCGGCAAGTGCAAAGGCCACAGCTGCTCAGTTCAGGGAACCGCAGGTTGCTGAGCATGGCTGGAGCACAGAGCGGGAGGTGGAACGTGATGAGAGACCAGTCGGAGAGACAGGCAGGGCCCGCTCACGAGGTGCCTTGATGCCTCGCAGAGGGACCTCGAGTTTTCCCTGGGGTGGTGGGGGCTGAGGAAGGAGTCAAGCAGGACAGACATTGGCAGATGCTCGAGGCATAGGCGCAGCACTGGGGACAAGAAGATCAAGCTCCCTTGGGAAGATTCCTAGCTGTGCTCCGCTCCTTCCCTCCTCTGTAAAATGGGGACAGGAGAAGTACTTATGTCTCCGGGTGGTCATGCAGTCCCATCTGTAACAAACACAGCCCTAAAATCTCCATGAGGGCAAGGACTCTGCTCACCCTACATCCCAGTGCCCAGAACAGAGCCCGGCATACAGTAGGTGCTCAGTACTGCTCAATACACGGCCACTACCGTCGTCTGCAATTATAGAGTTTTTTGATGGGCAGCATGAGAATGGCCTGGCTGCCTGTGGGGCGGGCAAGAAGAGCAGCAAACCCAACCGGAAGTCCCCTGGAATATCCGCTCCCTTGGGGACCTCACCCAGGCCCTACTGGGCCGGGATGTTCTGGCTCAAGACACACTCGCACAGTTCACAGACTTTGGAGCCTGGCCTGGGGGAGGTTTTGGAGCCTGCCCTGGGGGAGGCCGAGGTTGGAAGAACCCTTGGAGGGCAGCCAGGGCAGGTTTTCTGGCACCTGGCACATAGTAGGTGCTCAAAACATGTCTGTTGGAACCGAACTTGCCACCCCTAAGGCAGCCCTCCCCATCTTTGGATGTCTCACCTTGGGGTTCTAGAAAGTCCCCGCTGCGCGAACCTGCGCCCTCTCCTTGTACTCTCTGCTTTGACCTTAAGCAGAACAATCCAGGCTCGCTTTCAGATAAGACCTTCGAGGTACAGGGAGCCCCCATGCCCCTAGTACCTGGCTCAAGGCCTCATGAAAAGCAGTCCCTCCCCCTCTGAGGGCTAAGGCAGCTGAAAGGGGACAGGGAGTGGGGGAGGGAGTGCACAGTCCTGCTGGTCAGCTCTCCGTGTCATCCCCTGAACCCTGTACCCCAGAAAGCAGGAAGTGCCCAAGCCTCAAACAGCTGCTGCTTCCGGAAGATTCGAGTTTGCGTGCGGCTGGGTCCCCCAGGAGCATGTGAGGGGAGGAAGGAATTCAGGTCGGCCAGCCTTACCCAGCTCCTGCACCCCGCTCTGAGGCTCAGGAAGGCCACGTGGACTCCCCTGTAGGCATTTGCTTCTGCTGCCCTTGCCCCAACCCACGCTTCAGGTTCTACTTCCAGCCCCAGGCCCCAACATGGGCCTTCTGTTCCCCGCGTAGGCACACACCAGCCTGGCCTGTCTCTGGTGACCCCCTGAGTGGCCTCCACGTAGGTAACAGAGGTCACCTGCTGTTCCAATCCAGGGGGTGCAGGGGCCAGGCTTTGCGTCCTCAGGGCCCCCGCAGCTTAGAGCTCAGACCTGGCTACTGAGGAAAAATTCTGAAAATGCTTCCCAAGCGACGAGGCTAGATGCTGGTGAGGCCGTGCTCCAAGCCCCAACCTTGCCAGTCACTCTCTGTGACCCTGAGTAAGTCTCTTATCCTCCCTGGGCCTCAGATTTCCAATCTGTACAATGGCAAGGTTGGACTAGAAGAATCTAAGACCTTTTCCGTCTCAAAGATCCACCCATTCATTCATTCATTTATTCATTCATTCAGCAACATTTATTGAGCCCTTGGTCCTGGTGCTCAATAGGGATGAGCTACCTCCTAGTGATACAGCAGCGATCAAAACGGACACAGCCTCGTGGAGCTTGCTTCTCATGGGGGAGCCAACGTTCAAGAAAAAATAATAAATGAGCATATAATATTATTCCTGTAATATAAGAACCAGGCAGAAAAGGGAAATAGGGCAAAGGGTCAGACAGCAATGAGGTAGGGGCTGTCAGGAAGGCTTCTTGGAGGAGGTGACATTTGAGGCAAGCCCTGATTAGCGGAAGAACAAGCCAGATTCTGTGAATTCTGTTTGCGCAGAAGATGGAAAGTCATTGCTGATCACCATGTGAAGCAAAGGGCCCCAGCCTGGGACCCAGGACACCTGCATTCCTCTCCAGACACTGCCGGTCACTCGTTGTGTGACCGTGGGCAAGTCACTCCCACTCTTGGAGCCTCAGTGTTCTCATTTGTGTCTGAGGGTGGTGAGCCACAGCTCAAAGTTTCGTTAAAGCAGTTCTGAGAGGTTGCATTTCTGAGTATTTGGGTTCTGACTCAACCCCAGCCTCTCATGTTGATCAGGGACTGCAGAAGGACTGGCCTTTGTCCCTAAGGCCTATGAGGAGCAGTGAGAAGGCCCGGGGGCGGCCACACCCCGGCACTCACCTCTCGGCCCGCAGCTGCTGGGCCACAGCCATGGTGGGCGATGGTCCCAGGGAGCAGGTGGAGAGTCTCGCCCAGCCAGTCCCAGGCTGAGTTCACCTCTCACTTCCTCCAGCCACCCTGCGTCTCGTCTCAGCCTGTGGTCCTGGGAGTCCCCAGGAGCTGCCTTTGGGGAGGCTCAGGCCTGCTTCTCTCCAGTCTGGCAGAGGCTCCTCCTCCAGGCTCTCTGGGCCTAGCCTGTGGCCCACACTTCCTCTTACCTCACCTCCCAGCTGCACAGAAATTGAGGAAGTGGACCCTCGGGTGCCAGGTTTGCAGGAATCCACTTCCTTGATGTCAGTCCTTGGCGCCAAGCCTCAGTTGGGTATCAGAAGCCTTGCTCCATCAGAGATGGGGTCCCAGCCATCAGGGTGTCTTGTGACCTTGAGGAGTCACTTATCCTCTGGCCCATCAAGCCCCACCTTTATTCTCTTACTGCCAAGCCTTTGCCCAAACTCTTCCCCAGGCCTAGAATGCTGGCCTCCATTTTCCTGTGATCTCTTAGGCCCAGAGTAAATGCCACCTCCTCCAGGAAGCCCTCCTGGTTCCTCTGGCCTCTGTCTTCCTAGAGTGTGAAGTTTGGTTTGCGCGCCCTGGCACTCTGGGATATCCTTTCCTCATCCTTAGATCTCCATGCCCAGCCAATCCTCTTTCACAGGGCTGCCAATCAGAGTGAGTTTCACCCTCCCTGCTTAAACTCTCCTGCCCCATCACCCTGTGCTCAGGATAAAGTCCAGAGTCCTTGCCCTGCCTGCCTCCAATGCCCCTGAGGCCCTGCAGCCTTCCCCAGCCTCTGCTCCTGAGCTCCCTTTTTCTCACTGGCCTCCTTTCCGTTTCTAGAATGTTCTAAGACGTCCGCCCCAAGGCCTATGCTCATGGTGTTCCCTCTGCTGGAAAAAGCTCTTCACTGCCTCCTTTGCATCTCAGCTTAGAAGCTACATCTTTAGCGAGGCCTTCCCTGACCACACACCCTAAATTAAGGCCCTCCCTACTACATTCTCTCACAGGTCCCTGCACGTCTACTGCAGAGCACTCATAACTATTGTCATCTCACATTTGTTTGTTTATCTGTATGTTTAATGACTGCCTCCTTGGCTAGCAGCGTGCCTGGCACATTGCAAGTGCTCAACCAATATTCAGTGAATGAATGAAACGCTGCCAGTCAGTGACTGCAGCTCCTAACAGGTATGGGTATTTGATTCTGAAGGGACTTCTCTGAGAAGAGGTCCACAGGAGTCATTGGCACAGCCACACCCAGTAACTCCCTGCCAGCTACACACGCTCACACACTCGTATTCATACATGCAGAGCAGAAAGTTGTTTTAAACTACTTTAAACATACAAGTCCCAGCTAAAAAAAACAAGAAAGCATAATTTTTAGGTAGGATCAAAGAGAGGGGTCAGGAATCTATACCAGGGGGAGAGGAACGTGGCCAACAGCCCATGGGAAAACCAAGATTGGATATGCATTGTTGGGCTGAGATTTTAATGCCAAATCTGGGACTAGGTACAGGCCACAGGTCCTGCTGTTAGCAGAAAGTCAAATCTGAGTTCTCAGTGTAAAGTGGGTGTCAGAACTGATTATGGGAACAGAGTTTCTCAGCCATCAGCCTAGAGTCACGGCAGGAGCTGAGGTCCTCTCACAGTCCATGGGTGGAACAAGGGACATGTGTACCAGATCAGCCTCAAGCCTGCCCTCTGCACTGGTGTAAGGCCCCGATATAAGCTACCCACGTGGTGCAGAAATCCTAAGCTGAGGCATTATATAAAAACAGCTTGGAGTCAGTGACTCTGCAGGGCCTACTCTGTCAACTCACAGACCAAAACTACAAATCGTGAGCTGTGAAAGACAGCTCAGAGCCTCCACATCATGAAGAATTCACACCCAAAGAACTAGAAATAATACAAACAATAAGTCTGATGAGTTGCTGGTGTCTCGGGGCTCCCAGGCTAGAGGATGAAATGAAACACAGAAAGAGCAGGGTTATTAGTGCAGGTGTCTGTAAGTACCAACAGGTGCAAGCACACAGCCATAACTGAGGGAAGAGGAGGACATTGGCCTACAGTTGGTCAGGAAGGACAGGAAGTGGCAAAACAATTTTAGCAAGCAAGCATGATACAGAATTTGTAGGTGATTGTGTAAACTGTGTGTGTAGTATATGCCTATAGTTGGAAACACATATTTGTGTATAAACACATACAGCTCGCATAGGCAAGTGTAAGTGCATTTGTGTTGTGTCTATAAAAGACCATATAATGTGTATAGTGGTGGCATTGTGGCTGTGAGAGAATGTGTTTAGATGTTTAGGTTGCAGTCGGTGACAAATGAGTATAAACACAAGTACATTTATAATAGGTGAACTCAGGCAAGATAACATGTCCTTTTTGAACCTTTCTTCTTCACCAATCTGTGAAACAGTCTTGCCTAATGGAGTTGTAGTAGGAATTAATAGAAAACTGTATAAAAGTGCCTAGACACATGGACATTTCTTATTCCTTTTTTAATCGTTTTCAGTGTGTATATCTGTATGTGTGTGTTTCAGGTGGGTTAAGCCCTCAAGTTTACCTTCCCAGGTATTTTCATGGCTTGCCCTCCAAACCCCGGCCCCCCCAACCCCCCAAGAAACCTCCTGTGGCCCTGACTCAGCCACTGGGAAGCCACCTCTGCACCTGGGGGACAAAGATGTCCAGGGAAGAGCCCGCGACGGGCCAGCTCTTCCCCTCCTCCCCTCTTTCTCTCCTTTTCTTCTGTCCCTGCCCGTGGTTCTGCTGAATACAGGTATTTCTCTGTCTCCTCATACACAGAACGCTGCTGCCAATTTTATGCCCGAGCTCTAATACAGTGTAATTTGAGGCCAGGCACTCTGTCAGCAATGGGCTCCTGTCCTGCCGCTGCAGCAATGCCTGTACCTTCTACTCCCACTCCAGAACCGGGCTCTTGCTGCTCCTGCTGCAGGGGGAGAATGAGGCAGAGGGATGACCTGGAAGAGGAGCCAAGCTCTTCACACGTTCCATTAAACAAGTATGGATGGAATCTTTTTTGGATAAGTGCAAAGAAATGCCTGAAGTGACCTCTCACTTATGGAGACCTGATTTTTGATAACCTCCACATCCCACAGCCTGTGAATAAACCAAAAAAAGAGAAAAGCCATTGAATGGTTAGAATTGATAGCTCAAAGTCTATGCATTGACACTGGCATATTTTATTCACAGAAGAAATATAAAAGGAGCCTGGTCCTCTCTTCCTGCCAACTCAAGAACTTGAAGCAGTGAGTTAGGGGAAGGAAGAAAATTACCAGGGGCAGCCAAATGCAAGCGACAGTTCAGTGACAGCCTGACAATGATAAAGACCATGGAATACCAAAAAATATATATGTTCTCAAGAACTCAAAAAACAAATACCAGAGGCCATTCAGAGAAGGGCATCTCTGCATAACACCACTTACTAATGCCCATTCATAATCACATCTTCAGGAAAAAGTCTAATACACCAAGACCATGCTTGGGGGATCCCCAGAGCCTGAATGGGGACTGGATGTGCGAATCACAAAAGTGCACAGCACTTTTCAGTCCTTCCTCATGCAGGTGCTGGGGTATACAAGATAAACCATAGCCCCCATTTTGGACATGAGGAAACTCTCCTTTGAGCAGCCAGCGGCTGGGGCTGAGAGCTCCAGCCATAGGAACTGGAACTCTGTGATAGGGAGGAGGTGAGCCTCTTCTACAGGACCAGGAGATACCCTTGAGAGCTCATTATAGGTACTCAGCAAATCCCCACTGCCTACATCAGCCACTCTCCAGGGTAAGAGAAGGAAAATCCCTGATTGGACAGTGTAAGATTCCTGGGGATCCCTCACACACTGAATTCCCCAATCTTGACCCACATGTGTCTCCCTTTATAATTTATGAGGGGAACTTCACTGGACCTCCTCCCTGAGCCATAAATAGCCATCCCTGGCATGCCACCCAGGCAGGGAGGGTGTAGACGTGGCCAATTAGACAGCAAACTCCCTGAAGGCAGAGGGTCTTCTCTTCTCTGAGAAGCCCTGGCACACGGCTGAGCTGGGTCTAAACCTCGTGTGCCCTCGCTGTGTCACGCATTAGTTGTGCAAACTCTCCGACCATTGTTCAGTTTTCTAAATGGAGATAATATTTGCCTCTACATTATTAATTGGAGAGAAAAATTGCAGGATTATTGTATTATTCATTTCCAAATGTGTTGAGAACCTACTATGTGCCAGACACCCACTGTGTGCTAGGCCCTAAATGAAACACAGACACTGTTCTTGAGACACGCACTTACTAGAGGTGTGTTAACTAAGGGAATGAATACCAGATGTTTAGGACAGTGGCTCGCGCATAGCAGGTGGTCAATAAATTCTAGACGTTAATGTTATTGACGATCATTCCTTGCTGTGGCTTGGTCCCTCCCTTTTCTGTCTCCCTCTGCTGCACAGCTTGGTCCTCTCTGTCATACAACTAACGTTACATTCTAACTTTTTCCCGCAATCTGTCATCCGCTCTCATCAGGCGGGGGCACCGGGACGCGCACTTCCCTGGCGGAACCGGCTCTGCGCTTAATCTAAATGTTGACGGGAACAGACCGCCAGGGGGCGCCGCGATCAGCAGCCGAGTCCCCGCTCCGCAGCGCCACCTAGAGGAGGTTGAATGCTATAAGCCGCACTAGAAGGACCCGGCCAAGTCGAGAGTCAAGTTGCAGCTGGCCAGGCAGAGCGCGCAGCCTGCTGGCTCAGACAACCTCTCCAGACAGCCCTATCAGCCAGAATCTGAGCTGCACTCAGGGGAAGCTTCCCCCAGGGGCTAAGAATCCTGAATCTCCTCTCCACCATCATAAATACGGTAACAGCCAAGTCACTCTGAGAGTTGACTGTGTAACCACCCCTACACCGTGAAATTGCCAGGAGGAGCACGAGAGCTAGCATTTGCAAAGCCCTTAGTACAGTGCCTGGCCCACAGCCTGGCTTGGTCCATGTTGGCTCTGATTGTTGTTACCTAATCCTCACACCAACCCCCATAAAATAGTGGTATTCTTATCCCCACCGGGAGATAAGGAAACCCAGGCTTTACGGGATTAGGAAAATAAACCAAAGCGGCTTGCTTAATGACCGGCAGAGTAAGATTTGGACCTCACATCAGTCTGGCTTCAAGACCCACACTTAATAACTGCTGTACTGGCCCTCATTCATTCATTTATTCACTCCACAAGCATTCATCTAGTATCACTCTGCACCAGGTAGAAAGGATATTGAGATGAATTCAGCACAACTGCTGCCCTCAGGTAGCTCACACTGCTGTTGAGGTACATAAATAAACACACATGCACAACACAGGCACATATACACATGCACACGCAGGCACACATACACATGCACAAACATGTATAAACACATACACATGCATGCACACACAGGCATATATACACATGCACACGCAGGCACATATACACATACACATGTACATATACACATGCACACATAGGCATGTACACAGAGACACATACATATACACATGTACATGTACACCTGCACACACATGCATGTACACACAGGCATATAGAAATGCACATACATGCATGCACACACATGCAAATATACACGTGCATTCATACCCATGCTCAAACATGTACACACATACAGAATCAAGTACAATTTGGGGAAAACCAAGAGATACATGTTTCACATCCAGTTTCTCTGATTCCATCTCCAGTGCTGTCTTTGGTCCCCAGAGGTTATGGACACAAATGTCTACAGCGGCCTGGCAGGTAGCCTGGAGGTTTCAGATGGATCCGGGGGTGGAAAGGCAATGGCAGTAGGCTATAGTCTAGCGTCTGCCTTTCGTTAACCTTACATTCTGGGACAGAACTCCAAACTCTACATTTGAACCTGGCCTTCCAGTTTATCATGAAGGTACATTTATCAAAGAAGGATAGAACTTACTTTTTAGCAGTTGATTGGCTTGATTCCTAACTGTACATATTTAGAATCGTGGTACATGGGCCTCTGTCCCATTGCTCTAGGCCCTCCAAATGTCAGGGTCAGTGAGCAGGACAGATAGGCTTGTAAGTCATGGTGATTCTCAGGATTTCATTCAAAGAGGAAAGAGAAACCATTCAAGTGTTTTAAACAAGGAGTGATATGATTGAATTTATGTTTTTATAAGATGCCTTGGTCCACTACTTGGATATGGGCTTGCAAGAGGGTGGCATTAGAAACAAGGGGAGGAAGCACCACTTCTAACAGCGTTCTACTTCAATTTTTAAAAAATCAGCTTTATCAAGGTGCAATTCACACACAGTAAAACTTACCAACTGAAAGTATACAATTCCATGGGTTTGGACAGTTGTGTAACCAGCACCACAATCATTATATAGGACATTTCCATTATCTCAAAAGATCCCTCAGGACACTTTGCAGCCAATCTCCTTCCCCTGCCCCCAGGCCCTGGCAATGACTGATCCACTTTCTATCACAGTATTTTGCCATTTCTGAAATTTCGGACAAAACCACAGAGTATGTGATCTTTTGTGCCTGTTTTTTTTCACATAGTATAACGCTTTTGAAATTCATGAGTGTTGATATGTACATCGGTATTCATTCTTTTTATTGTCAAGTAGTATTTTATTGTATGGATATAACATAAGTTGTTTTCCATGCACAAGTTCATAAACATTAGGGTTTTTTTTTTGTTTTCCAGTTTGGGGCTGTTAAAACAAAGGGGCTACAAACATCAAGCATAAATGTTTGAGTGAGCATGTGCCTTCATTTCTCTTGGGTAAATATCTAAGAGAGAGTTGCTGGGTCATATGGTAGATGCATATTTAACTTTATAGGAAAACTGTTTTCCAGGTCGGGTGTGGTGGCTCACGCCTGTAATCCCAGCACTTTGGGAGGCCGAGGTGGGTGAATCACCTGAGGTCAGGAGTTCGAGACCAGCCTGGCCAACATGGTGAAGCCCCATCTCTATTAAAAATACAAAAATTAGCCACGCATGGTGGTGGGCACCTGTAATCCCAATTACTCGGGAGGCTGAGGCAGGAGAATCCCTTGAACCCAGGAGAGATTTCAGCAAGCTGAGATCGCGTCACTGCACCCCACCCTGGGCGACAGAGCGAGACTCGGTCTAAAAACAAACAAACAAACAAACAAACAAACAAACAAAAAGAAGGAAACTGTTTTCCAAAGTGGTTGAATCATTTTGCATTCCCCCTGACCCATGTATCAGAAGACAGAGGCTCCAGAGTACCCGGTGTGCACTGGCTCAGAGGCAGTGGCCCCAGGTCTGCACAGACTGGGGGTCTAAATGAGTCATAGCCTTGGGGCTGGTTATTAAATGATTTTCTCCCAGCTCCAAACCTTTCTTCTACCCTCTGCTTTGTGGTGCCCGAGCTGGGACTCAAAACCCTGTTTGTTCTGCTTTGCTGGCTGATTTCCGCTGCCCTTGGCCAGGAGGGGGCGCTGGAGGGAGGCCGGAAGGATGGGAGAGGAAGGAGGGGCTTGCTTCTTTCTCTTTGCAGGCGGGACCCAACTGCCCTGCCCTGGAAGCCATGTTGGCCCAGCAGCAGTTGATTCTAGGTTTTAGTTTTTTTCACATTCCCAGAGCCAGTCTCACCCCACCCCCTCCTCAGAGGTCTGCAGTTCTGAGTCCCAGCTCCTCCCCGCAGGTCTAAGTCTCCTCCTCCAAGCTTCCAGGCTAGGGTAACCCCGCTCTCTTCCTTCCGTTCCCACAGCCGCAGGGGTGATGGCTGCTTCCTGAAGTTTCTATCTCTGGTGACCTCGGTGTCTCCTTCTGCCTTTTCAGTCTAACAGAATCTGTTCAAGCAGTCTCCTTTATAGAATTCTCACTTTAAAAATTATTCATTTGCTTTCTGTGTCACCAAACCTAGCCAGCCTAGCAGGCTGCAAGGCCCAGCTCCCAGCCCCAGGGTGTCCCAAGGGAAGCAAGGCAATAAGGCAGAAAGAGCTCTCACTCTTTGGCTATGAACTCTCAGACATCTCCCTCAAGCACTCCGAGCTTCAGGTTATTTATCTGCAAAATGCATCCAAATAGAGCCTAATATAAATGAGGGCTTAATAAATATTTGAGGGAGGAAGTGGAAGAAGGAGGTATTTTATATCCGTTATTGATACCTACTTCATTTGAGCATGTTACAAATTTTTTTCTAATACTCTGCAGGGAATGCCAAATCCTTCCCCTGTGCACTCTGTCTTTATTCTTCTTGATAAGGTGTAGCAGAGACTGCTAATATCCCCTACGATCCACTCTGTCCTTTCTCCTTTAGTGATAAAGTCCCTGAGTTGTGGCTGGACTCATGGCCACCCAGCTAAAGAGAACATTTCCCAGCCTACCTTGCAGCTCCCTGTGGCCATGTGACCAGTTGCTGGCCAATAGAATGGGAGGGGAGGCCATGGACATGCTATCAGGCTGTGTCGTGAAAGACAGAAGGTGTATCTTCCATTTCCCATCTCCCCTTCCAGCTGGCTGGAGAGGCCAGCTATGGAGAACAGTTAAGCAACAAAACAGCTTGGATCTCTGACCCTGCTTCTGTTCAGATTTTTCAGGGAGAAAGAAATTTCTATTGTGTTTTAGCAGCTGATTCTTTGATGCTTGTTACAGCAGCTGAACCTGTACCCTACCCAGTACACTGGAGCAGGGATTGGCAAATGCTTTCTTTTCATTTTCTTTCTTTCATTTTTTTTTTTTTAAGTTGGAGTCTCGCTCTGTCACCTAGGCTGGAGTGCAGTGGTGCAATCTCAGCTCACTGCAACCTCTGCCTCCCGGATTCAAGCCATTCTCATACCTCAGCCTCCTGAGTAGCTAGGATTACAGACATCTGCCACCACGCCCCGCTAATTTTTGTATTTTTAGTGGAGATGAGGTTTCAACATGTTGGCAGGCTGGTCTCAAACTTCTGGCCTCAAGTGATCCACCTGCTTCAGCCTCCTAAAGTGCTGGGATTGCAGGTGTGAGCTACTGCACCCAGCTGAAAAATAATTTCTAAAAAACGCCAGATAGTAAATAGTTTAGGCTTTGCAGGGAGTTGGTCTCTGTCACAACTGCTGAATTCTGCTGTCACAGCACAAAAGCAGCCATAAACAATAAATAGTTGAATGTGCATGACTATCTTCCAATAAAACTTTATTTATAAAAGCAAGCAGGTCTGTGTGGACGCTGCACCAGAGTTAACAGCAAAGAGACTACCTTGCGACAGTTCACAGAGAGGGTTAAAAAGAGCTCAGGAAGGTGAATCCTGGGTGAGGGGTGAGGCAGAGCAGCTGCCTGAGGGCTGCCTCCTCCCTGAGGGTCTACCTCTGGTTCCTGATGCTGCTAAGATGCCACTGCCTTTGAAACTGCCCCAGGAAAGGAGGGCTCCTCTAGCTGCAGTTTATCCAGCACAGACATGTTGGAATTTGATTTTCCTAAAGGCATCAAAAGGGGAAAAATCTACAGCCAGCAGAAAAGTGTGGCTCCAGGCTGACCAGCATCTGCATGAAACTATATTCAAAAATCAGTCGTGCCTCCAAATATTAACTACAAAGGAATGGCAACCTCCCCTTTCCACAGCCCTCTCCTCCCTCCTCTGCGCTGCAGCACTCTGAAGCCCCTCACCCACCCGCACCCTCCCTCCAGCCCGGGCCCCAGGACATGCCTTCCTCCCTTCCTCTGCCTGCTCATTGTCCTGTACATCAACTTGACCTCTCCTGATGCATTCTCCCCGTCTTCCTCCCATCTCTATGATTTTATGGCTTTTCTTCATCCATTTGATTCTTTGCATCACCTAAGATTCAAAACTGGTCAAAGACTTCCCTGGAAGGCTGGGGCAGCACCCTCCCCAGCTAGAGCTGTCACTTTAATTCCAGCCTCTGTCAGCGTCTTCACTTCTCACCTCTTCCTGCTGAAGATTCCATAGCATGGGCACATTTCGGGGCAAGAACCATGTCCCATTCATCTATGAATCACCAGTGTCCAAAACAGGACCAATAAGGGTTTGTGGGAGGAAGGGAGGGAGAAAAAGAGGGGAGGATGGAGGCCGAGAGTGAAGAAGGAGACAAAGCAAGTGGGTAGACTTGCAGTAGGACTGGGCTTTTGATCTCGGACATTGCCCTCTTGCCGGATGAGGCCAGGACCCAGGTGATTGAAATAAAAGCATCTCTCGCTCCTCATGAGCTCTGCCCTCTACGTTAAGGGGAGAGCTTTCCCTCTTACATGCCCACAGTGTGGCGACGACTGCCCAGGGTGCCCCACTCTCTCGGAGCTGCACAGCCAGGAACCAGAGAGCTTTGTAACACGCAGTCCTGGGAGTTCTGTAACTGGCCTTTCAGCTCCTGGCCCTTCGGCCACCTGCTCCCAGCTGTGACCTCCTAGCCACAGCCCTCAGTGTACTCCTGTCCCCAGCCCTCACCTGGGGTCCTTCTGCAGCTGTGGCCTCTGCTATTTGTTTTTTGTTTTTGTTTTTTCTGAGACGGAGTCTCACTCTGTCTCCCAGGCTGGAATGCAGTAGCGCAGTCTTGGCTCACTGCAATCTGCCTCCCGGATTCAAGTGATTCTCCTGCCTCAGCCTCCTGAGTCACTGGGATTACAGGCGTGGACCACCACGCCCGGCTAATTTTTGTATTTTTAGTAGAGACGGGGTTTCACCATGTTGGCCAGGCTAGTCTTGAACCCCTGACCTCAGGTGATCCACCCGCCTTGGCCTCCCAAAGTGCTGGGATTACAGGCGTGGGCCACTGCGCCTGGCCTGGCCTCTGCTATTACCTACCACCCACAATGCTGCCTCGGCTCCCCCAACCCCTGTGCCACTTGCTCCCACCGCTTCTCCTCTGTGACTGGGGCTCCTCCCAGATGCCTCTCCAACCTCAGCCACCTTCCCCAGCATGCACTCTGAGTGGGGGTTTCCTTACTCCCGAGCGCTCTGTTACCATCTGCACACCGAGGACTCTGCGGTCGCTCGCTGGGCACCAGGCCGTGTGTCCCAGCTGCCTCCTGGACCCCCTACCTCTCCCTAGCTGTTCCCCGAGCCCCTCCAAGCCAGTGGTTCCTTTCCCTCCACAGCGGCCCCTCCTCCTGAGCTCTGTCTCCACCATTTACGGAAGACAGAAACCTGGAGTCACCTTGGCCTTCCTGTCTCCTTGGCCTGCCACAGCCGATCTGTCAGGAATGTATTTCACCTCCTTAAGTTCCCTCTAACTGCCTCTCCTCCTCCATCCCTACAGCCTGGGCTTAAATTCAGATTTTCCTCCTCTCCTGCCTGAATAATTTCAACAGTGGCCCACCTGGTCTTGTCCTCCATCCGTCCTGCGGGTTGTCATCCACACCAGCTCCTGGGAGGCCTTTCCTGAATATGACTAACCCCACACATCCCATCCCTCCAGGCCTCACGGTGGCTAAGAAAACGAGTCCATATCGCTCTCATTCAGCCAGGCTCCAGCCTAACTCCAGACTCATTCCTCTCCTCTCCCAGCTAAAACTACTGGGGCAGGTGGTCCCTCAAGCCCCAATGTGCCCAGGCCTTTGCATATTCCAGTGCCTCCACCCCCCACCCCCAATATCTCTGCTTAACCAATTCCTAGTTCTCCTTAAAGACTCCACACGCCATCCACTAGAAAGGTATCACAAGGGTTCGAAATGGAACATCTGCCTGGCACACAGTAAGTGCTTAAGATGATGGAATTAGGAGTGTTATGGTGGGTGCCCTGGAGCCCTGGGGGCGATAAGAAAGATCACGAGGTGATCTTTAGAATCTTAGAATGGGCTTCACAACGATCTTAGAAGGGGCTTCAGCCTCAGGGTAAAGTTTGATGCTCAGACCACTTCCCCTTCCACTTAATAGCAGGATCTAGACTTTCTCCAGCACCCCTCCCAGGTCTTTCCAAAAGTCTTCTTCTTCTCTGATGAGGGAGGGAAAGGGTCTTTTCTCCCCTTGTTCCTCTGCCCCCACACACTCCCATCTGAAACCCCTACCTCCCGGAGCCCTGCATTGTAGGGCGTGGACCTGCCCCTTATCCCCCGAAAACCCTATCTACAGACTCTAACGGAAGGGCAGAAGGTGTAGGGATGACCAGGGGATGAGGGGCTCTGCACATGCCCCTCCGTAGGGCACTCATAGGCCTCCGCTATGCTGGTGGCCGTGGTGTCCTGAGACTCTCCTCTCTGCCATCCTCAGAGAATCGACTTCCCGAAGGAGGCTCAAGGATAAGCCCCGGGCTGCTGGCTCTCACTGCACCCCCGTCGTCCTCTCCACCTGCTCCCCTCACCTTGGGGACCCTGTGGCGGGGGGGTGGGGGGCGGGGGCGGGTCTGAGCTCATTGGTTTTCTTTTCACTGGCGCTCCGCTCTGCGTAATGTAGGTTTTCTTTTTCTTTTCTTTCTTTCTTTTTTTTTTGAGACAGAGTTTTGCTCTTATTGCTCAGGCTAGAGTGTAATGGCACGATCTCGGCTCACTGCAACCTCCACCTCCCGGGTTCAAGCGATTCTCCTGCCTCAGCCCCCTGAGTAGCTGGAATTACAGGCACGCACCACCACACCCAGCTAATTTTGTATTTTCAGTAGAGACGGGGTTTCTCCATGTTGGTCAGGCTGGTCTCAAACTCCCGACCTCAGGTGATCCACCCGCCTGGGCCTCCCAGAGTGCTGGGATTACAGGCCTGAGCCACCACACCTGACCATTGTGTAGGTTTGCTGCCCTTCTGAATATATTACCTTTCCTCGAAGCAAATCCCGCCTTCCACAGTGTATTACCATCTCACATCCATTGATGCTCTTTCTCTTCTCTTTGTCCTTGACTGACGGACTATCCTTTATATACACATACATACATATACATATAGAGATAGATAGATGATAGATAGATATAGATATAGATATTTTTTCTTTCTATGTCAACAAGGGCTCAGGAGGGAGGAGAGACCAATGCTTGTAACTTTTTTCCACAAAGTAGTTGATTGCTTTCTGTATGTGCAACTGTCTTTTATCCAGACTTTTCCCAGAAGGCCTCTCCTTTTCAGCAAAAACAACACCAAAATGAATCAAGGTATTTTCCTGAACTTGGAAGTCATCTGCTCCCTTCTCCCCCAGGAATGCACCAGAATAAGCATTTCACTTTTGAAAGTTTGCAATATGTATTTTTTTCTTTTCTTTACAGTATTCCTCCCACAGATGAGGAAACTGGAGCTTGGAGGGAATGAATTGCTGGACGTCACAGAGATGAGCTGGGACTTGAGTTTCATGCTTCTCATTCCAGAGGGTGCCCTAGCTTCGCCTCCATCACATGGCCTGGGACACTGGAACCTGATGAGAACCCAGGAGAAGGGACCTTGGGCTGGCCAGGTACTTTCCCTTTGCCCATGCAGTGCTGCTGGTGGCAACAGCTTCCATGTCATACAGGAGGGAACGGAGGCTCGGAACTGCCAAAGCTCCACACGGATACACCCTTGTAGAGAGACTCCCCCCATGGAAGGGTCACCTCAACCACTTTCTGCTGGTTCCCTTGCAGACATTTCAAACTTTGTCACCTATTCAAAGATGGCTTTCTACGGACTACATGAGCAACCAACAAGCTAACCCATTGGGTGCCATGAAAAAACATGAAGCAACAGCCACATAGGAGAGGGGATTCCGCACTTGGAGATGCTGGTCCTACCTGACGGATGAAGACCCCTGGTGGAGGTCACCTGGCTCCCATCTGTCGAGGGCTGTCAGTCCTACACCTGTCCTCTCACAGGCTAAGCCAATCTGCAAGCCCATTTGAATGAAGGTGTCATGTGGTGAACCACTGTTTTACATGCCATTCAATGTTGTTTGTTTGGTATATGCCATGGGCTCCGTGTTCCATGTCCCCATCCTGAAAATGGAGGTCCTGGGGATGAGGGATCTTTAGGCAAAAAGAACCAGGCCAGATTGGTGTGCACAGTGCCATGTGGTAAAAGAGGCTTTCCAAGCCCTGTGGGCAAACTCTGGGGAAAACAGGTCACCAAAGGCCCTATGCAGGCTTCAAAATAAAAGCCTTCTGAGAGGGCTGTGCTGGGGTGGCTGGCAGAGCAACAGGGCAAGGCCTGGGGAAGCTGGGGAGAGAAAGGAAGGAAACGGGACCCAGGGGAAGAAAGCGCTTTCCAGAGGGAACGTTGGAGCTGTACTAGTTGTTAAAACGTGGACGTGCATCTGTAGCACTTGGTTCCATCCACTGCCTCCCAGCACCTGTGCTGCCCCTCCCCCTCCCCATGGCATGCCCAGAACCTCCTCATGCCCATCACCTAAATGGTTAATGCTGGGCACATCTGGGGGCCACATGGACACTGCTCTGGATCAGACAATCATTTTGACTATGACCCCTGGAAAAAATCATGGCATGAACTGCCACGGATGCAGCAGTGGCTTACAGAGCATTCGCTTCTCGGCATCACACACCAGCCAAGGTTTACGGAGCCCCGGATGGTTGCCAGGCACAGTGCTAGGCCCTGGGGATTCAGACACAAAGCAGGTACAGCACAAAGTCAGGCAAGGCTCAGAGACCCAGGAGCTGGTTCGTTTGGCTCAAGATGAAGCAGGAGGGGAGAAACAGGAGAGGAGAGGCCAGGAGATCAGCAGCGGACAGACCAAGGAGGGCCTTATAAGTCAAGCCATGGAATTTGAACTTTATCAGGCAGGCCAGGAGAGGTGTGGGAAGGATCTGAACAGAGGAGATACTGGGTGAGGTTTGTGTTTTACCAAGAACACCGTGGATGCTGAAGGGAAGAGAGGTTGCAGCTGAGCAAGACTAGAAGCTGGTCATTGGGCTGAGGGTGAGCTCAGGGCAGGGCTGATAGGGTCTAAGGAGGAGGACAGTGGAGATAGACAGACAGAAAGCAGAATCGGCTGGGTGCGGTGGCTCACACCTGTAATCCCAGCACTCTGGGAGGCCGAGGTGGGCGGATCACGAGGTCAAGAGATCGAGACCATCCTGGCCAACATGGTGAAACCTGTCTCTACTAAAAATACAAAAATTAGCCAGGCATGGTGGCAGGAGACTGTAGTCCCAGCTACTCGGGAGGTTGAGGCAGGAGAATTGCATGAACCCGGGAGGCGGAGGTTGCAGTCAGCCGAGATCGTGTCACTGCACTCCAGCCTGGCGACAGAGTGAGACTCCTTCTCAAAAAAAAAAAAAAAAAAAAAAGGCAGAATCACAGGTCTGTGGCTGGTTCCACACAACCATACCATGTACCAAGCAAAGCTTAACAGTTATCCCCATTCGAATGATTGGGCAGGTTAAGGTTGCAGAACAATATTGTATGCTCAGCACTGCTCCAGGGGCTTTTGGATAAAGTACCCAGCGAGGTGTGTGTTCATTCAGTTTCCACTTTACAGACAAGGAAACAAAGGCAAAGAGTGTGTAAGTGACTGGTCCAAGGTCACACTACTAGAAGATGGTAGAGAGTCAGATGAACATAGGCAATGTGAGAAGAGGAGAGAACTCAGAAAGAGACTCATGTTGGCTTTGAAGAAATGTAAATTTAATCTGTGTCTTCAAGGGGAAATCCCAGAAATGGGGCTAAAAGCAACTGGAAAGGAAATGCAGGCTCAATATAAAGAAATTTCTAATAATCCAGACTGTCTTTTTAAGGAATAAGCTTCTGGCCAATGGAAGTATACAAGAGTGAGGCCATGCCCCCGCAGAGCGAGCCACCTGGAGAAGAGGGATGTCCCTGAGAAAGAATGGAGAGGTTTGATCAGAGGAAGACTCTGGATCCAGATTAGTTGAGTTCAAATTCCAGCGTCCTACTTACCAGCTGAATGACTTTAGTAAAGTTACATAGCCTCTGTGGCTCAGTTTTGTCATCTGTAAAATGGGGCTAAGAGGAGTACCTATCTCATAGGGTGGTTAAATGAATTAATACATGAATTAATCAATGAGCTAACTTAACATTCTCAGCATTCTCGGCACTAATAGGATCAGGAAACGAAGCCCTGGAAATAGGTGGCAAATGGCGCTGTTCTCAGGGAAGCAGCCCAGGAGCTAGTCAGTGAGGGACCCCGGAAAGCCATGTTTCTGTGGATTCTCTTGAAGGACAGGGTGCAAACAGGTTCCAAGCACCAGGAAGACTTGCTTACATCCATGCCCTCTTTGCATTTTCTTAGTTGTTTTTCCTTAGAGTTTACTAAAGCACTTTGACAGTTGCAGTCTGACTTTGATATTCCAAGAATAAATCCAGGAAGGAGTTTGTGGCCCTGGTTGGGCCAGAACATTAAAGGGATAGCAGTTCCCCTCTCTGGTCCTTGAGACCAGAGTAGAAGTGCTGAAAGGGGTCAAATCCAGACTCCGAGGACTTCGCTTCATTGCACTCACAGCCTTGCCTGTCAGGGTTGTAAAAGTAGGAAGCAAAAACCAACAGGAAAGAGATGGCTAAGTAAGTTGTAAAATCCATTTATTTATTCATGGGCAAGCCTTATTTTTGATGCAAAATGGTGTTAGTCTGATTCATTCTCTCTCTCTCTCTCTCTGTCTTGTCCCTCTTTCTCCCCAAGAGTGGGATCTGAAGGATGGTTACTGTCCCAAATCAAATTGACCTCATGCATCAGTCAAGACCCAGTCAAAACCAGAAAGCACACACACCAGTTACTTTAACAGAGGGAATTTACTATAGGGAATTGGTTAGACAGGTCTCTGGGCCTGAAAAGGCAATGGGGGACTTAAGTGAGATGCCTAGAGATAGTAACTTCAGGAAGGAACTTTGCCCCCAGGGCTGTCAGAACAAAGGGGAGAGGTGGTGGTGAACAGAACCCGGAAATTCCAAAAAGAGACTGCACAAGCTGGGATGTGGATGGCTGAGGAGGGAACACTGGCCAGCTGACCCTCAGATCTTGAGGGAGTGTGATGGGGCTGATTTGGAGGGTTCTAGAAAAAACTAGAGGGGGTAACTAAGTGCTGCTGCCAGGGTGAGGGACCAGTGCTGGGGTGAATAAGTGAAGCTGAGGGGATGCTCAGCGGATGGGCAAGTGGGAAGGAAAGCACGAGGCTCTTCTCCTCCAGCCTCACAGGCTCCCTCTAGCACCCACCAGTGCCAGGGCCTAACAGGAGGGAGCTGGCAGTGCGGAAATGGGTTTGCAGAATCCCAGCCTTAGACTGGGAGCTGAACGGGGGAGGGTGGATCGGGGGTTTATATGAGATGACAGCTTAATAACCAACACACTCTGGGGACTCCCAAAGAAATGGGCCACAAACCTTGCGGCAACTCCCAAAGCCTAATTTTGAGATACAAACTCCTCTAGAAATAAATTCTAAGAGCACTACTACGTACCAAACACTGTGCTAGGCGCTGTGAGAAGGCATGGAACTAGAAAGACATCTTCAGAGCTGAATGTTCAAATGTTGGCTCTACTATTGTATGTTGGGAGACCTCAGACGACTCACAACATTGACCTCTGTTTCCTCAATCATAAAATTCAGATGGGGGATGGCTACTCTGTGTCTCATGGCATAATTAGAAGAATTGAATCAGCTTATGACTCTAAAGTGCCTGGCAATCCTAGCTTCCAGTTGGTCTTTCCTTTTTTCCCCTCCTTCTCATTCTTCTCTTGTGTTGGTCCCTCCTCTGCCCCTGGTCTTTTTCCTCCTCCTCTATCGTCACCATAATCAATACCACCATTGCCATCCTCATCACCACCACCACCATCATCATCATCACCACCATGATCATTGCCATCATCATCACCATCACCAAGCAAGACAAAATATCAACATTAACAGGAGTTTGGAAGAAAGATTTCTCTGTAGCACGTGACGCTCTTTGATAGCATTCTGCCCACAGTAGAACTTCTTTCAAAATTGGAATCAGTCCTCTCAAACCCTGCTGCTGCTTTATCGACAAAGTTAATGGAATATTCTAAATCCTTTGTTGTCATTGCAATAATATTCACAGCATCTTCACAGGAGTAGATTTCATCTCAAGAAACCACTTTCTTTGATCATCCATAAAAAAGCAACTTCTCATCCATTCAGGTTTGATCATGAGATTGCAGCAATGCAGTCATATCTTCAGACTCTACTTCTAATTCTAGTTCTCTTGCTATTTCTACCACATCTGCAGTTCCTTCTTCCACTGAAGTCTTGAACTCCTCAAAGTCGTCTATGAGGGTTGGAATCAACTTCTTCCAAACTCCTGATAATGTTGATATTGTGACCTCCTCCCATGAATCAAAAATATGTTGAGTGGCATTTAGAACAATGAGTCGTTTCCAGAAGGTTTTCAATTTATTTTGTCCACCTCCATCAGAGGAATCACTGTTTATGGAAGCTGTAGCCTTATAAAATGTGTTTCTTAAATAATAAGACTTGAAAGTTGAAATTACTCCTTGATTCATGGGCTGCAGAATGGTTGTGTTAGCAGGCATGAAAACGACATTAATCTCCTTGTACTCCATCGGAGCCCTTGGGTAACCAGGTACATTATCAATAAGCAGTAATATTTTCAAGCGAATCTTTTTTTCTGAGCAATAGGTCTCAATAGTGGGTTTAAATGATCAGCAAACCATGCTGTAAACCGATGTACTGCATCCAGGCTTTATTTTTCCATTTATAGAGCACAGGCAGAGTAGATTTAGCATCATTCTTAAGGGCCCTAGAATTTTCAGAATGGTAAATGCGCACTGGCTTCAACTTAAAGTCACCAGCTGCATTAGCCCGTAACAATAGAGTCACCCTGTCCTTTGAAGCTTTGAAAACAGGCATTGCCTTCACCTGTCTAGCTATGAAAGTCCTAGATGGTATCTTCTTCCAACAGAGGGCTGTTTCATCCACATGGAAAATATCTTACTTAGTGTGGCCACCTTCATCAATGACCTTAGCCAGATCTTCTGGATAACTTGCTGCAGCTTCTCCATCAGCACCTGCTGCTTCACCTTGCACTTTTATGTTATGGAGACAGCTTCTTTCCTTAAACCTCATGCATTAACCTCTGCTACCTTCAAGCTTCTTTCTGAAGCTTGCTCACCTCTCTCAGCCTTCACAGAATTGAAGACAAGTAGGGCCTTGCTCTGGATCAGGCTCTGGCTTAAGGGAATGTTGTGGCTGGTTTGACTTTCTATCAAGACCACTCAAACTTTCTCCATATCATCAATAAGGTTGTTTCACTTTCTTATCATTCGTGCGCTCACTGGAGTAGAACTTTTAATTTCCTTCAAGAACTTTTCCTTTGCATTCACAACTGATCTAACTGTCTGGTGCCCATCTTTTGGCCTATCTCAGCTTTTGGCATACCTTTCTCACTAAGTTGAACCATTTCTAGCTTTTGATTTAAAGTAAGAGACAGGACTTTTCATTTCATTTAAACACTTAGAGGCCATTGTAGGCTTATTAACTGGCATAATTTTAATACCTTTGTGTCTCAGGGAATAGAGAGAGAGAGAGGGAATGGCCATTCCATGGAGCAGTGAGAACACACACAACATGTATCGATTAAGTTTGCCATCTTACATAGTCATGGCTCATGGAGCCCCAAAGCAATTACAATAGTAACATCAATGATCACTGATCACAGACCACCATAACAGATATCATAATAATGAAAAAGCTGAAAATATTGCAAGAATTACTAAAATGTGGCACGGAGACATGAAGTGAGCACACGTTCTTGGAAAAATGGCACCGATAGACTTCCTGGGTGCAAGGTTGCCACAAAACTTCAATTTGTGAAAAATCCAATATCTGCAAAGTGCAACAAAGCAGAACCCAATCAAAGGAGGTGTGCTTGTATTTTGAAATGAACATTCATTTGGGAGACTATTCATACATTTATTCATATAATAAAGTCATATAATACATTAAAAATAAAAGAATATTTGGAGGCTTACCTCCTAGTGGTGGAATTGCTGGAACAAAGGGCATGTGCAGCTTTTTCTTTTGTTTTTTTTTTTTTAGATGGAGTCTTGCTCTTTCACCTAGGCTGGACTGTGGGTGCAGTGGTGTTAGCTCACTGCAACCTCGGCCTCCCAGGTTCAAGCAATTCTCCTGCCTCAGCCTCCCAAGTAGCTGGGATTACAGGCACCTGCTACTATGCCCGGCTAATTTTTGAATTTTTAGTACAGATGGGGTTTCGCCATGTTGGCCAGGCTGGTCTTGAACTCCTGACCTCAAGGGATCCACCCACCTTGGCCTCCCAAAGTGCTCGGATTACAGGCGTGAGCCACCATGCCCAGCCACATGTGCATTTTTAATTTGGATGGAAATCTCAAAATTTCCCTCCTAAAATAGAAATTTACATTTTCTTAATTCATTGCCATCACTGAATACAACTGTACTTAAACATTTTTGACCATCTGATAAGTTAAAAAAGTCTCTGATTTTGGTTTGTATTTCTCTGATGGCAGAGGAGGCTGAGTATATTTTCATACATTTATTGGCCTTTTGTATTTTGCATTTGTATTATTGGCCTCCTGTCTGTGCCTTAGGACCCTCCTTTCTATTGGACTGTTCATCTTTTTCTTATTGATTATGAGCTATTTGTAAATCAACAGCATTGGTCTTTTTTCTAGCACTTGTCTGAAAGTATTATTTGGCCATTTTGTTGTTTGCTTTGAACTTGGTCCATGGCATTTTTTTTTAACTCTCACACAAGTTTTAATTTGCTACAGTAATGTTTGTCAATCTATTTGTTTATGGTTTCTGGGCAGACTCATGTCTTCAGAGCTGTCCCTATCCTTGCCAGCAGGTTGAAGGAATTTCCTGGGTGGCTAGGTGACATGGCAGCCACTGGATGTGTCCCCAGGCTCGCCCTCCGCCACCTCCATGTGGAGATGCCGCCCCTCAGAAGATTCAGCAAACACAGCCCCTTGGCCTGCTCCAAGAAGGTGGCTGCCCCGCCTTTCACAGCCAAATTCAGGATGCACCTGGCTTTCGTTTTCCCCTGACATCCAGCTCCTTTTAAGGAGCTATGCATCTTATACGTTTCTTAATCCCCCAACTAAATTTACCAGCTGTTGCTCACAGCCAAGACATCAGCTAAATTAAACTTTGGAGTGGCAAACACGGTGTATCAGATGCACTTCAGTGAGCCATGGTGGGAGCAGCCACGCCCCATCTGTCCTGAGGGCTGGGGGTCATGCTCTCCCTTCCCTCCTGGAATCTGGCCACAGCAGCATCTTCCTTCCCTCAGAAGCACTAGGGTCCCGCCACTGGAGGACCATGGGTGTATTGAGTTACTTCCACCATTGAAAAGATTCTTCCTTTCATTCTACAGGTATTTACTGAGGGCTCAATTATTGACAGGCACTGTTGTGGCAGTGGGGAAACACCTGAGGTTTTCTTTCTCGTGACAGAGAGAAATGAGGAACAAATGAATGTATAATCCACAGTTGAGCAGCAAGAGAGCCTCGGAGCAAGGGAAGCAGATAGAGAGAGAAGTGAGGGTAGGGCTGGGTGTCTCTTCGGACATGGTGGCCGGGGAAGGCCTCTGATGAGGTGACATTTGTGTAGAGACTGGAATGAGGTCCTAGACACAGCCATGTAGGTATCTGGGGGAGAAGGTTCCAAGGCATGTTCTAGAACCAGCAGGGCAACTAGCAGTGAAGGAGGAAGGGCTGGGTGGGAGGAGAGGTGGAGCGAGTTGTGGGAAGATGCTAGCATTCTCCTCCATGTGCTATGGGAAGTGAGTCAAGGTTTGAGAATTGGGAGAAGGGTGAGGTGTTTTCCATCTGAAGTGTGTTTGGTTTGCATTTACCCTCTATGACAGCTTAGGCACAGGAAAGGTCAGACGTGGATTGATGGTGAAAAAGAACTGATGGGCCGGGCGCAGTGGCTCATGCCTGTAATCCTAGCACTTTGAGAGGCCGAGGCAGGCGGATCCCCTGAGGTCAGGAGTTTGAGACCAGCCTGGCCAACGTGATGAAACCCCGTCTCTACCAAAAAAAAAAAAAAAAAGAAAGAAAAAAAATAGCAGGGCATGGTGGTGCATGCCTGTAGTCCCAGCTACTCAGGAGGCTGAGGCAGGAGAATAGCTTGAACCTGGGAGGCGGAGGTTGCAATGAGCCGAGATAGCACCACTGCACTCCAGCCTGTGATGGTGAGAATTCAGGCACCCCAGAGCAGCTCCTGGGGATCCTTTGAGTGAGCAGAGTGGGTATGCCCTATGCTGCTCCTGTCACATATTGGGTTTGTGGGTGAAACTCTCCCTGCTCTGGACACACTCACAAAGCAGGAAGGTCTACCTGGCTGGAACCTGCATCCCTGTTCTCTGGAGGGAGGAAGCCCTTCCCTCACACCTGGACACTCAGGCCCAGCAGGCTCTCTGCTTGGGTCCAGCTGTGACCCTGTGTCCTGCTGCAAGGCCCCAGCTGCTCAGCCTGGCCTCTGAGGACCTGCCGGATTGGCAGGGACTGGCCGTCCTGGGCAGACACCGCAGACTGGGGCTGGCCCTCAGTGCTGAAGGCTCCTGAGTTGAACTGGCCAGCACACCGAGGCTGGCCAAAAGTGCAGCCCAGCACCAGCTTGCGAGGAGGCTCCCAGGAGAAACAATTAGAAAGCATCACAAAACACCTGGCGGACAACAGGGGCTGGAGAAATGCCAGCTCCTGCTCCAGTCACACACAGGCTCAGGCAGCATAACAGCCGTGAGACACACACGCCACCCAGGTGGTGTTGAAGACAGGCAGGGACCACCTAGGTGGTGTTGAAGACAGGCAGGGACCACCCAGGTGGTGTTGAAGACAGGCAGGGACCAGCCCAGGAGGAGCCTGACCAGTTGCTAACTTGACAACCTTACTCACACACACACACACAGACACACACACACCACACACACACAGACACACACATACACACACACCACCCCCCCACACACACATCACACACACACATACACATACATACACCACACACACACACATACACAGACACACACACACACACTGCCCCCACACACTGCCCACACGCACATACAAACACACAGACATACACCACCCACACACACACACACACACACCACCCCCCCCCCCCACACACACACACCACACACACACAGAGTCGGCTCCATATGAATAGGCTCTGATATGGTTTGGCTGTGTCCCCATCCAAATCTCATCTTGAATTGCAGCTCCCATCATTCCCATGTGTTGTGTGAGAGACCAGTGAGAGATAATTGAATCATGGGGTCGCATCTTTCCCCTGCTATTCTCATGATAGTGAATAAGTCTCACGAGATCTGATGGTTTTGTAAAGGGGAGTTTCCCTGCACAAGTCCTCTTCTCTTGTCTGCCTCCATATGAGATGTGCCTTTCACCTTCTGACATGATTCTGAGGGCTCCCAGCCATGTGGAACTGTGAGTCCAATAAACCTCTTTCTTTTGTAAATTGTCCAGTCTCAGGTATGTCTTTATCAGCAGTGTGAAAATGGACTAATACAGGCCCCATCACTCATTTCTGCAGAGTAAGGGCCCTGAGGCCCAAATATCACTCCCAGGATTCCATTGTTAAGCCCCAATTCCACCATTAAATTCCACTTGGATCACAGATGCTGCACATACACAACCATGGCCAAGCCTCTCAATTTTATGTTTATTGAACATGCAGAACAGCAGACATCACTAAAAAGGCGTCTCAGTCATGCCCAGTGTTCCAGTAAATTGGAGGTAGAAATTATGCCAATCAGAAAAAATACTGCCTTTTTGGCAATCACCAAATCACTAAAGCTTTATGTGTGTAGTCGTACTATTGGAGCATCTGCAGATGTCACACATGTAAATGCAACATGGTGGTCAATTAGAAAATCAACTCAATGTTTCTTTTAACAGATTCCTTAAGCTTCCTACATAAATCTCACTCCAAATTAACATTAGCTTTCCAAAGAGAAAAGAGCATTCTGTGACCATTTCCACTGCAATTTAATTCTTTTTTAGTTCTCAGAATGATGGCAAGGCCATCAGGAGTGAGGATGATGGCTCAGCATTTTTGGGGCCTCCTGAATATATCAAAGGGAGAAGCTAGAGGTTAAAACAGCCCTCAAAAGAGGAGCCTGTCATGTCAAAGGAATGTGCAGGAAGGCTGAGCAGAATTAATTTCCTCCTGGTATAAAATATTCCTTCTGATCATAAATAAATCTGCTCAGAAGTAACTCCAGCAAACCACGAAACTGTTTCGAGGGGGCTAAGTGGCAAATCACAGCTTTGATGGTGACAAAAGAGAAAGAAAGTGAGATCACTAGATTCAACTTTGTCCTTTCCTTGCATTCTTCAAAAGCAAAATCCCCAGCCTCCCTCCTCATCTCCCCCCACCCAAGAACTGCACATTTCTCATGGCCTAATATGAACAAAACGGTTTATGACCAGATGAGCAGACAGCCAGATAACTCTAAGGAAGAAAGAGGGCAGAAAGGCTAAGATGAAGACACAGGGTGGAGAAACTCTGCCTGGCTCCAGCTGCCTCTCTCACGTCCACCATCCTGCATCTGGCAACAGGAGTTCCCCAGTTGTCACGGGGGATGCTCCAGCTGAAAGGGTCCAGGAGCTATAGGACAATAGGACGTTACAGGCCTCTTCTTCCCACCTTGGAGAGAAGGCTCAATGAAAGAATCTTGTTTGCCTTTTATTTTTCCATTGTGTATTTCTTTTTTTTTTTTTTTTTTTTTGAGACAGAGTCTCGCCCGGTCACCCAGGCTAGAGTGCAGTGGCACAATCTCGGCTCACTGCAACCTCCACCTCCTGGGTACAAGCGATTCTCCTGCCTCAGCCTCCCGAGTAGCTGGGATTACAGGCTCATGCCACCATGCCCAGCTAATTTTTGTATTTTTAGTACAGATGGGGTTTCACCATGTTGACCAGGCTGGTCTTGAACTCCTGACCTCAGATAATCTGCCCACTTCAGCGTCCCAAAGGGCTGGGATTACAGGGGTGATCCACAGTGCATTTCTTGAATGTATTTGGCCATGGAATGCTCTATTCATCAAACATCTGTAACGGTCTGTTATAATGCAATTATTTCCATCTCAGTTTTAGCTGAGGGTCTATGATAAGAGCTGCCACCTGTTCTCACATTCCAAAGTGAGATTCCAGTCCCTGAAACTTGCGTGATTGTTTGTTACTGCAGCACAACTGAGTCCATGCGGACTGATACAGATGAGCACCAGACACGAGCCTTGCCCATCAGACACTGTTGCCTGCATATTTCAAACGGGACATTTTTTTCTTAAAGGGCCAGATAGCAAACAGGTTTTGTGGGCCATGGCTCATTTGGCCACAGACTATAGTTTGCTAAGCCCTGTTCTAGACCCCTCATGCTGGACTTGCAAAGGAGAAGGTAAAAAACCAGTTTCATGGCTCTTGGCTTTTCATGCATTGGAAGGTATAAAAGGGTTAAAATTGCAGAGGTAGAGAAGTCGAAGTATGCAGGTTGTTCTTTAGAGAGAGCTCTTGGGGTACTATGATCCCCAACCCTAAAGAGAAACTGTTAGGTGTAGTTCAATGGTCTATTACCATGGAAAACCCACCCTAAACATCAATCTTCAATGGTAGATTATCTGTAAGGACTCTTCAGGTTGGTAGCCGGATAGTCGCTTTGCTGCTGCTGGTGCCATCTGGGGTCACTCATATGACTGCACTCAGCTAGGATTTTGGCTGCCACTGGAAGCTCAAGGTGGTGACACGTCCCCCTTTCCCACCACAGGTTCCCCTCACACCAGGCTCCAGCTAGGCCAGGGGCAAAGCTTTACCTCTGAACAGAGTTTGGGGTTTTGATTATTAAACAAGACTGGACATGCTAGTTATCTAACTGACAGATATGTGTGGCCACCAGCACGGAAAGCTTTTTATTACCTGAGTAAAAAGATTTCCTCCAGGACTAGGGAAAGGACTAGACCTACAACATCAGAGCCAGGGCAGGGGGAGGTACATTACTTTCTGGTTATCCCCATTCAGTTGATGTGACACTTATCACATTTCCCAAGCAATGTCTCTGGAATAGAAATAGGTACATATTTAAGTAACCATATGGAAATAGGTACATATTTAAGTACGCATGTGTACCTACTTCCATTCCAGAGACATTGCTGGGAAAAGACGCTCAGGGAAAATTAGGATGTGCTGGAGCCTCTAACACCAGCAGACGCTGGTTCTCATGGTGGTGTGTGAGCTCTCATTTCTTGCTCCATCTATGAGACTCTACTCCCACACCCTGTGGACAAGGTACAAGTCCACATACCTGTACGACGATATGGTGGCTCATTGCACAGGATTTGAGGTCAAAAAAATCAATGTTCTGGCCAGGCTTGATTGCTGGCGCCTGTAATCCCAGCACTTTGGGAGGATCGCTTGAGCTCGAGTTCAAGACCAGCCTAGGCAACATAGCAAGACCCCATTTCTACAAATAAAATAAAATAAAATAAAATAAAATAAAAACCTAGGTTTACATCCTAACGATTTTCCAATTATTATCCATGGGATCTGTAATAATTCATGTTTCCTCTGAACTTTAGTTTTCTTATCCATAAACTGGGGATAATGATGTCTCCCTTACAGGGTTGTTAGGAGAATGAAATGAGATAATCATGCAAAGCATTCAGCTGGTGTGGAGGAAATCCTTGTCACCATGTCAGTGTCTAATGCTATAAATGGGGAGAACCGCATCTGTTTGGAATTGCTGTATACACACATATTCTGCTCAGGAAAGCCATCAGCAGAAGCTGCTAACATTGGCTGCCTTTGGGGAGGGAAGCGCGTGGCTGAGAAGAGGCAAGAGGAAGACTTTTCACTGTTTAACTCTTGTACCTTTTGAATTTTGAAGCATATAAATGTATTAATTATTCTAAACATAAACTTAAACTTAAAATCTTTCTAATATTTTATTATGAAAGTTTTCAAACCTACAGAAAAGTTGAAAGAATTTTAAAATGAGCACCATGTACCCACTGCTGTGGATTGGCCATGACCATTCTACTATACTAGTTTTATCTCATATCTATTAAATTTTTAAAATAAAATGAGCCTATCTCTGAGGTCTAGGGAAGTTTCTTTACTTATTAGGGTCTGTATGTTCCCTCTGTGAAATGCGAAATGTGGGGTATTATCCCTGTTACTTACCACACCCAGGGTAAATCTGAGTGGGCTGTTGGCTGTCTTGCCTATATGTCATGAGCATCCCTTGGGGTGGCTTCCTGGCTTAAAACAGTCCTCTCTCTCTCTCTCTCTTTTTTGAGACTGGGTCTCACTCTGTCACCCAGGCTGGAGTACAGTGGTGTGATCTCAGCTCACTGCAACCTCCACCTCCCAGGTTCAAGTGATCCTCCTGCCTCAGCCTCCCGTGTAGCTGTGATTACAGGCACACACCACCACACCCGGCTAATTTTCTTATTTTTAGTAGAGACGTGGTTTCACCATGTTGGCCAGGCTGGTCTTGAACTCCTGACCTCAGATGATCCACCCGCCTCGGCCTCCCAAAATGGTGGGATTACAGGTGTGAGCCACCGTGCCTGGCCCAGTTCTCTCTCCTTGAAAACAACCCCACCACACGTGTGAACTCCAAGTGGCTACAGGTGCACCACAGCCTCGTCCCCCTCCAACTTCACCCCTGGCAGTAACCCAGGGATGGTGGAGTGGATACCCTGCCACTTACTGCTATTTCTGATTCTTCTCCCCTCCAGCCTCAGAGGGGCTCTCTACTTCCTGCCCTTTTGATGTGGAGCCTCCCTCAGCCTGGATTGTTGAGTTGTTACAAGGAGGTCACTTGCCCTGGAAAGTCATCTGGATCCAGAGTGGACTTCATGTGAGTGTGAAATAAGCCTTTGTTTTGATGAGTCCCTGAGACTTAGGGGATTGTTTTTACTGCAGCACAACTGAGTCCATGCGGACTGATACAGATGAGCAGCTGACATGAACCTGGCCCATCAGACACTGTTGCTTGCATGTTTCAAACTGGAATTAAGGGAAGTGAAACAGTCCTTTGCTGGTGACAAAGCTGTCAACCGGAAGCTTGGGAGCAATTAATTAGAAATGAGACTTCCTTCTATGTAGATGAAGCCAATCAGAGAGAATTCAGCCTTTGGGAGAAAAGATGTGTGTGTGTGTGTGTATGTGTGTGTGTGTGTGCGTGTGTGTGTGTGTGAGAGAGAGAAAGACAGAGACAGAGACAAAGAGAGAGAGGTAGCATTTAAGGCCCAGAATCTCTGACTCTAGTTGTTTACCCCCATAGACTACTGGTAGACTTTTTTCCTTCCAGCTTTGAATGGGGAAAGAAAGAGTAATCAAGCTATTTTCCCATTCTCTAGGAGATTAAGAAAAAGCCTTCGGCAAGATCAAGACCATCCTGGCTAACACAGTGAAACCCCGTCTCTACTAAAAATACGAACAGTTAGCCAGGTGTGGTGGCATGCACCTGTAGTCCCAGCTACTCAGGAGGCTGAGGCAGGAGAATCACTTGAACCCATGAGGCGGAGGTTGCAGTGAGCTGAGATCGCGCCACTGCACTCCAGCCTGGGTGACAGAGAGAGACTCTGTCTTAAAAAAAAAAAAAATGTCTTCAGCGATCTTTAAGTCCAGGGCAAATGGTGCTTCTGAATGCCTTGTCTCAAATGAGCTGAGGATACTTCCTGGGGTGCATGGAATAGGCCCATTTCTGTTGTAAGTCACAGAAAAACCAACTTAGGCTCGTTCAAGCAGAAAAGGAGAATTTCCTAGCTCATGGAACTGAAAAATCTCAAGAGTAGGTCTGACTTCATGGACAGGTACATTAGATGTTTTTGTGGAAGAGGGCTGGAGTCAGGGGTCAGAATCTAAATTGATTAAGGATTCTCACTCTGGTTCTGCTGATCTGTTTTTCTGGAAAATTATGAACTGATACCGAATCATAGCCATATTCATTTCTACAGTCCCAGTGGTTACTTTAGCTCTCTTTATCCATCCATCTTCTCCTCGCCTTTCAAGGCCCAGATCCAAATCTGGCTCTTCTGAGAAGCCTCCCTTACTGCCCCTGTTTCGAAGGTCTCCACTTTTCTCTGAGTCCCCGTTGCATTCAAAGTCTTTCCATACTTGTAGTCAAGTCAAAGGCCCATATAACCTTTGGCTTGAATTCCACTTAGAGTACGTTCAGATAAAAAATTACAAGCTAAGGGCAAACTCTGCATAGAGCTCTGTGTTTTACATTTTTCAAACATTTCCACTTGCTGTTCATCCATCCATCCTTCTGTTCATTATCCGTCATCCATCCATCCATGCACTCGTTGAAACCAGCAATGACCTACTACCTACAATATGCATGTCCTGTGCTGGATCCTGGGAGTACAGCGATGCATATGACACACTTGTCACCCTCAGTGAGTTCATGACCTAATTTAGGCAACAAACATGTTGTAATCATATCAACAAGAAGAAGAAGAAGAAGAAGAAGAAGAAGAAGAAGAAGAGGAAGAAGAAGAAGAGAAGAAGAAGAAGAAGAAGAAGAAGAAGAAGAAGAAGAAGAAGAAGAAGAAGAAGAATCATATTAACAAGAAGAAGAAGAATCATTGTAATCATTATTATCAACAACAAGAAGAATCATTGATACTTAATGAGCACTTTCTTTGTGCCAGTCACCGTGCTAAGCAATTTGCATGCACTATCTTAGTCCTAACAACAACTTCATAATGTATGAGCCAGTGCTTCATTTATCTATTGCTTTACAACAAACTACAACAAAACATAGTAGCTTCAAACAACAATTATTTTATCATCTCTCTAAATTCTGTAATCTGAACTGGGCTCAACTGGGTGCTTCTTCTGTTCTTGCCTGTGGTCACTCATGTGGCTGCAATCAGCTGAGGGTGGCCTCAGCTAGGACACTGGGAAGCTGGGCTTTAATCTCTCTGTGTGGTCTGTGGGCCTCTCATTCTCATGTGACATCTCCATATGGTCTCTCCAGCAGGGCATCTGAATTTTACCTGGCATATCTGGGCTCCCAAGAGCATGGAAGCTGTCAGGACCTCTTCAAGCTTAGAACCAGAGCAGGCACAGTGTCCCTTCCACCCCATTCCATTGTTGAAAGCAAGCTGCAAGCCCCAACCACAGCCAAGAAAATGTGGCAATAAAGCAAGTTGCAAGGACCATCTACAGTCAAGGAAAGGTGGCAATACAAAGGTATGAACACTTAAAAGCACGGTTTATCAGAAACCACTGATATAATAGACTACCACAGTCAAGATTCTTTCTATTGCAAGTGAAATAAACTTGACTCGTACTAACTAAAGGTTTTTTTAAAAAGTGGATTGGGGAAGGATGATTTATTGGCTTTGTAACTGAAAGCCCAGGTGTGCATTTGTCTATAGGAATGGCTGGATCGAGGGGCTCATTGATATCATCAGGGTTTTATCTTTCTTTTCATTTCTCAAACAGATTCCCTCTTTGTAGTGGGTAAGATGGCTGCCCACATTTCTAGAACCGCATCCTATCAGCTCAGCAAGCATACAAAGGTATGAATACTTAAAAGCATGGTTTATCAGAAACCACTGATATAATAGACTACCACAGTCAAGATTATTTCCATTGCAAGTGAAATAAACTTCACTCATACTAACTAAAGATTTTTTAAAAAATGGATTGGGGGAGGATAAAGTAGGTGGGTTATACCCATTTGACAGATGGGGAAACTGAACTCGAGAAGTCAGAGCATTTCCTCATGTTCAGTGGTAAGTTTAGAATTTGCAGAATGTTTCCTTCCATTACAATGTGTAGGCAGGGAGAGAGGAGGGAGTTCAGGGGTCAGTCTGTGTTTTTGGCTTATGCAGCTGAGGTTTCTGTAATCACATGTGGATCTGGAATTTTAATACTACTTCCATCCTGGAATTTGCAGTCGCCAGGGAGCTGCTTGCTCAGGGCTCCTCAGCCTGGGCAGTGGGGCCCTCACCTACCCCTCGCTCCAAGGTCACTCAACTATGGGACCGGACTTTGCCCTGGCCCTGCAGAATAATCCTGGTCACTCTCCTCACCCTTGCCTCCCACCATCTGGAGGTGGAGGGGCACGATCCACGACGTGTGGTCTGACTGAATTCAAGTGGGGGCATCACTTCCTTCCCAACACTCCCCCACCTGATACCTGCTCACCCTTCAGCCTGCAACACCAAGAAATGGAACTCTTTCTTGCTTGCTTGCTTGTCTGCAACACACTTTAAGAATTTGGGTAGCAATCTGGCATTACTGAAAGTTCATTTACTGAAGCATCTTTTCAGAATCTGGCAAAGGTTGAATGTATGTATATTTATATTACAGGACATTATTATCCAGTAAGGTGTGTATATTACACAAGCAGGGAATCATGGTGATCTGCCTGGTATGGCGGCCTCTTATTGGCGCATTGTGTGACCCACTCTCTGCTTAAGTTGTTGAATTCATGTATTCATTTCACTCTCACAACACTTGAGTGGAGGACTCTCAGGAGTCCCACTTGACGGAAGTGGAAACGGAAGCTCAGGGAGGTCAAGTCTCTCTGCAAGTGTCACACAGCTAGAGCTGGCAGCTGAGACTGAATATTCTTTCATTTCCACTGTGTAACAGCAGCAGTCACCACTGACCCCAAATGCTCACCCCCCCAGGACTCATCTCCTCTCTGCCTCAGCTACTCCTCACCCCCCACCCCACACCAGCTGGGCACCCCCAGTGGACACCAGGTTGCCCTACAGCCAAGACATTCTTTCCATTCTAGTGCTCATATGGTTGGTGAGATTGTTTGAAAATATTCAGACATGGCCAAAACTAGGAGAAAAGCAAAACCAATATAATGCAAATAATAATACGTACAAAAGTTCAAAGACTCACAGGAGATGTGATAATACATCCAAGACTCCTTGGCACAGCCCCATAAGGAAAATATTATTTTCATTCTTCAGATGTGAAACTGTTGTTCCTAAAGAGTAAGTAATTTGTCCCAAGGTCACAGAGCTAGCAGGTTGGCTGAGCCAGATATTGAACCCAGGTCAATGTGGCACCGAAATCAACGCAGTTTCCTTTCCACCCTGCTGCGAAAGGGCCCCTGAGCTCGACAAGCTCATAGTCATGTTGGGAGAAGACAGTTCCATGGATAATTGCTCCACAGCAATGATCACAGTAAACACAGGTCAATATGAGAGTGGTATGTGAGCAGGGAGAAGAAATCAAGGAGGGCTTCTGGGAAGAGGTGATGCCTAAGCTGAGTCATACAGGATGAATGGCAGGTGCAGTAAGCCTACAGGAGGGAGGAGGCAGGACAACGCCAGAGGAAGTAGCATGCTGTCACTGCCAGCCATTACTGCAAGCCATTGTCACAGTGGTCTATGTTACCCTTCAGGGTAAACAAAAGGTAACGTCTCCCTTGTATATGACTCACATGGCTATATCAGTGATATGGTTTGGCTCTGGGTCCCCACCCAAATCTCATGTCAAATTGCAATCCCCAGTGTTGGAGGAGGCGCCTGGTGGGATTGACTGGATCATGGGGGCAGTCTTTAATGGTTTAGCACCACCCGCCTAGGGCTGTCTTGTGATCGAGTTCTCCTGAGATCTGCTTGTTTAAAAGTGTGTGGCACCTCCCCACCCTTTCCTCCTGCTCCCACCTTGTAAGGCGTGCTGGCTTCCCCTTCGCCCTTCCACTATGATTGTAAGTTTCCTAAGGCCTCCCTAGAAGCAAAAACCTGTACAGCCTGCAGAACCGTGAGTCGATTAAACCTCTTTTCTTTAGAAATCACCCAGTCTCAGGTATGCCTTTACAGCAGTGTGAGAAAGGACTCATACAATCAGTAAAAGTGACGGTCATCTGATATGCTGTCATCTATCAGATTCACTACGAATCTTGTGGGGAGAATAGGAGATGTTTTAACTGAAGTGAAATTCATACAACATAAAATTAACCACTTTAAAGTAGACAATTCAGTGGCACCTAATGCCTTCAGGGTTCAGAGTGTGCAGAATGTTGTACAACCACCACTCTATCTGGTTCCAAAACATTTTTATCAGCCCACGATGCAGTGACCTCAACACTCATTAAGTAGCTGACCTCAACAAGCTCATAGGTTGAGAGCAGACAATTCCATGGATAATTGTTCCACAGCAATGATCCTAGTAAACAGAGGTGAACATGAGGCTGGTGTGTGAGCAGGGAGAAGGAATCAAAGAGGCCTGAGCATCACCTCTTCCCAGACGCCCTCCTTGATTCGTTGGTGCCACATTGACCTGGTTCCAATAAAGCCCATTAAGCAGTTACTCCCTATTCCTCCTTCCCTCCAGCCCCCGCTTTTTGTCTCTAGATTGACCTAGTCTGGATATTTCATACATATATGTAGTGTGACCTTTTGTGTCTGGCTTCTTTCACTGAGCATCATTTAGTATTGTACACATTTTCTAGTTGAGGAGGAGAGGGTAGAGCTCACACTGTGGTCTAAAGTTGACACAGCATCTCCTGCTCTCTCTCCCTTCTACCTTGTTCTCATCCCTTTAGACATGTCCTGCCATCCTTTGAGGGCCCAGAAGTCAGATCCACAGGCCTGGGTGAGTCCCTCCTCTGCCATTTTCCTTGGACATCTTATGCCCTCTCTGAGCCTCAGGCTTCCCATCTGTCAAATGTAATGATTGACAAATAATGTGAATATACCTAACAGGACTGAATTCTACACTTACAAATGGTTAAGACGGTGAATGTTGTGTGTTTCTTTTACCATAATTTAAAAAGTAATACAAGGGAAAACCTTTAGAAAATGAGACGGTTGGATTGGTGGCTAAGGGCCCCTAATCCTGTAGAATTGTGAGACCAAGCATTCATGATTGAGACTTAGGGAAAAGAAAGGCAAGACAAGGAGGCAAAAGGGAAAGGAACAAAGGAGGAGAGACATAGCGGTGGGAGGAGGAGGAGGAGGAGAGGAAGGAGGAAGGAAAGGGGGAGGGCAGTTCTGCTGCCTCAGTTCATTTCCTCTCTGCCTCGATTGGTGTTTGTGTTTATTTCTCAATTCTCAGCCATTGTCATTCTGCAAACCTTGGTCCTAAACCCCAACATGAGCTGTGGGTTAGTCTGCAGTATTGAAACAAAATGGGAACTATTGGATTTTCAAACTGATTCAGCCTCTGAATTTAAAAACATTTTTTTCTCAGTCAAATGTGACCCAGAATCAGGATGGAAGCAATAAATATTTAATAAGAAAAAACTGGTTCAACAATGTCCTTAAAACACATTAGCTGTATTAACCTGGGGCCTTTACATTGGTACCAACATCAAGCATCCCCCTATTGGCTGAAGGAACACCAAGGCAGATAGCGATCGTACATTCTGGATTTGCTCAGCCGGTTTCAAATACCCAGCTCCCTGTTCCCCAGAGCACCCTCCCTTATCGAAATGTGAGCTGCCATTTTGGATCAGGAATTAAGATTCCTGGGGACAGGAGGCTATAGTTCCCAGGGAAGGTCACAGTTCCTGGAAGACTAATTACACACCAGCAGGTGCCTCTAAAGTGCAGGTGAATAAATGGATTTCGACAGCACTGTAAGTAGGAATCCAAGAATGTCTTAGAGAAGAACCACTGTACACGCAGAGCCAAACATAAAAATATCCCCCATTTGATTTATTCTCCTTGGAGTCCGTCCTGGAAAGAAGCTGAACGCTATGGTGGTGCTTCAAACTCCCAGCAGAAAAGGCAACTGGAAACACAGAGAGAACAAGCAGAATAATAGGAGGCCATTATTGAGGCAAATGCAGAGTTCTAGGAGGGGCACGAGGTCAGGGGGAAGAAACCCAGGAGGACTTCTGGTAAGAGGTGACACCCAAGCTAAAACATGAAGGACGATCAGCAGGTAGATAGTCCAGCAGGAGTGAGAGGGCAGAAAACCTCTGAAATCAATGGTAACCATGGTTGTATTTGGGTAGCAAGGGATTACTGGTGACACGCCCCCCCACCCCCGGCCCTGTTTAGCTCCTCTATTTTCTATTGTTTCTTTAAAGAGTACATGGCATATTTATGATCACATTTTTTTAAAGCAGGGAAATGTCACAGTTTCAAAGGATTTTGAGAGTTTTCATGAGCACATGGGCTGGCATCTGCATTGTGATCACGGGAATGGAGACCCTCTCCTTCATGCGCCCTCAGCAGGCTCTTTCCATCGCCAGGTGTGTTAGCCAGCTTGGGAGCGGGCCTGAACAACAGAAATGGATCCTCTTACCCTTCTCAAGGCCAGAAGTCTGAGATCAAGGTGTTTTCTTCTGAGGCCTCTCTTTGACTGTAAATGGCTGTCTCCTCCCGTGCTTGTCTGTGTCCTAATCTCCTCTGCTTGTAAGGACACAAGTTATATTGGATTAGGACCCATTTTCAACACCTCATTTTAATTTAATCACTTTTGTAAAGATCCTGTCTCCAAATGCAGTCCCATTCTGAGGTACTGGGGGTTAGGGCTTCGACACAGGAATCTGGGGGGAACAAAGGCAGCCCATAGCACTGGGGTGTAGATAAGTGGTTAGAGGTGAGACCTTGATTTTCCCTGTTTGCTATGGGAGAGTTCAGAGCATTAGAACTTGCCTGATTTTGATGCAAAGAAGCCAGATGCTGAAGAGGACACACACGGATTGTTGTAATGGCTCTGAAGGGTCAGCCACTGGCCCTCCCAAGAGCCAAGGAAGAGCACTGGATGGGAGTCCCCAAAAAACACATGGAGGCTGGGTGCAGTGGCTCATGCCTGTAATCCCAATGCTTTGGGAGGCCAAGGTGGAAGGATCACATGAGGCTGGGAATTCAAGGCTGCGGTGAGCTATGATCATGCTACTGCACCCTGTCTCCAAGGAAAAAAAAACAGAAAAAACACACATGCAAACTCGTCATCCTCCCCCTCGACACACATGCAAACACACGCCACACATAGACATGCCATACACAAACACACACCATACATAGACACGCCATACACAAACACACACCATACATAGACACGCCATACACAAACACACACCATACATAGACACGCCATACACAAACACACACCATACATAGACACGCCATACACAAACACACACCATACATAGACACGCCATACACAAACACACATGTATACACCACACACACCTTACACACACACACCACACAGAGACACACCACACACAGAACACACACAGATACACACCACACATAGACACGCCATACGCAAACACACATCTGCATACACCACACACACCTACACACAAACACACCACATAGAAACCCACACAGACACACACCCCATACACAGACACAACATACAGAGAAACACACAGATGCACACCACACACACACTGCAAACACCACACACACCCCCCACACACACCACACACACATACCCCACACACACCACACATAGACACACCACACACACATACTCCCCACACACAGACACACCACACACACCACACACAGATGCATCACACAGACACGCCACACACACCACACACAGACACACCACAGACACACATACCACACACACCACACATAGACACGCCATACACACACACCACACAGACACATATACCACACACACCACACACACACCACACACACACCACACAGACACACCACACACAGACACACCACACATACCACACACAGACACACACCACACATACCACACACAGACACACCGCGCAGATGCAGGCACACACGGACACACACCTCTGTCAAGGACCATTCTACTCTGTTGCAGGGCGTGGGCTGTGCCAGTGATGGGGGCAGGAGGGACTAATGGGGAGGGGACTGAGGAAGAGAGGATACAGTGAGAGGGGACGTCACCTTTTTAATCTAGGACCCCCTTTACGTTTGGAGCTGGGGTGAAGATGCCTTGGGGCCGAGCGTTCTCAAGCCCTGTGGACCAGCCTCCTCCCTCGGCTCCTCCAGGCCCACCCTCCAGTACCACCCAAGAAGGGAGAACCTAGAGACCTCCTCTTTCCAATCCTCTCCGGCCTTCTGAGTACATGCCTCCTTCTTGCGCCCTCAGCCCATGACCTCAGCCATGATCTAGGGGTGCCCTGCTCCCCTTTCACACTCCAGTCCACGTGGGGCCGTAACCCCTTCCCAGGGTTCCTCTGGGCAGCACTGGGATGGGGTGGAGTCTTCCAGGGCAGAACATAAACCCAGGTGGCCAAGAGCTCTGTTCACCCCGGCCCCTTGAGCCCTAACCCACCCTCTTTCCAGAGCCCCAGGCCCTTCCAGACCACAGTGCGTCTGAGCCCCCAGCCCCAGCCCCTTCCAGCATTCACATTCTCTGATTCTCCCCTTCTTCCTCTCCGTGTGGCTCCTCATTTCCCCAGCAAGGACACTGGGTCCTGGCCTTGGAGACCTTCCTGGAGAGTCAGCGGTTTTCAGAGGCCGGCACCCCTGGCTCTCCATGTTTCTATCCATAAAGCTATTCCAGGTCTTCTCATTCAGGGGCAGGCCAGGATCAAGTTCTGCTCCTCACAATGGCAACCCTATTATCATTTGTGTCGGATTTTATAGCCTTTCTCAGACACGATCTCATTTAGTATTCACCACGGCTTCCTCTTTAGCTCCATTTTACAGGTGGAAAAACTGAGGCCCAGAGAGGTGAACCAACTGGCTCAGGATCACACAGTGGGCAAGTGGGTGGAGCCGGGGCAGGGACCCAGGGCCGTCTGTCTGCCTGCCCTTGCCATCCTCACGACTGTGTTCCCTGTGGCCGCTCTCTCCGGAGGAAATCGTGCTTAAGCATGGGTAAGGGGAGGAAAGGGAAACAAGGCCACAGGCTTCCTGAGATCCGGCTCTCAGGAATGCAGCCGAGATTCCTTTGAGTTAATACACATCATCCCACAGGGCTGATCTCATCGATATCATTAGATCCTGCGATGTCCACCCAGCCTGCCGGGGCCCTGGATGTGGGGAACTCTGTATCCTGTTCCCAGCCACAGCAGGTGGAAATAGTGTGAACTCATGAAATAGCAGCAGCGAAGCTAACAGCTGAATACTTATCTCCTGGCAGGCGGCAGCTGAGAGACTGCTGGCCCGCACACACTGGCCTCCTCCCCTCCACCAGCTGGGAGGCCAGAGAGGGCATCAGGGAGAGCACTGGATGTGAGAAGAGGCAGACAGACCAGGCTCTGGTCCTGGCGAACTGCGTGACCTTGGGCAAGTGACTTGACTTCTCTGAACCTCAGTTTGGTTCATCTGTAAAAACTTTTCATCTGTATAAAAGAAAAAGATAGTGGGATCCACTCTGGTAACATATATGTTACTGGAACTATGTGAACGTGATCAGCTAAAGACCACGCCTCATTTTAGGGGATAGAAGGGGGCGTCAGTGTGAGATTGCGGCATCTGCTAGCTACTCAGGGTCCTCCTCCCTGCTCACAGTAAGAAACCCTGAAGCTAGAGGAAAATTCCACTGGGCACTGCTGCTGCCTTTAAGCAGAGGTCCTAGGCGGGTGGAGTCTGTAAGGTCTCACGCAGAGCAGGATGGGCCTGGGTCGGTGGGAGGGGACTTAAGTCCAGGAAAGCAACTTTGGGCCTCAGAGTGAATCATGCTCTAGAAGTTTGATGCAGGCAAACTGTCATTACACTCACCAAGGACTTAGGGCATGAACCTCCCATGTGCCTGGCACACTTGGGCAGCCCCCAGGGACTTACCTCAACAATGACTTCGTGGGCTTTGACTGCTCAAAGCCCCTCACCTCTCTGTCCAGGGACAGTCTCCCTCTCCAGGCCATTCCAATGATGTTGACATTCTGCCTCCTCCAAGCCTGAAGGGTATCCTGTGCCACAGGCCTGTGCTCCCTTTGTAATCAATAGTGACAGGTTCAGGGATGACATGGGCCAAACTGAGCTCATCACAACCAGTGAATGCAGCTCTGGGACTTTTTTTTTTTTTTTTTTTTGAGCGGAGTCTCACTCTGTCACCAGACTGGAGTGCAGTGGCGTGATCTCGGCCCACTGCAATCTCCACCTCCCGGGTTCAAGAGATTCTCCGGCCTCAGCCTCCTGAGTAGCTGGGACTGCAGGCACACACCACCACGCCCAGCTAATTTTTGTATAGCTCTGGGACTTTTGAGCAAACTCTCGGGCTGTAGACTCCCTTTCCCCCAAAGGACTTGGACCTGAAAGTTTGTAGCATTGCAGGGACAGCCATCTTGCCACCCTCAGGGGTCAACCAGTTTGAGAGAGTGGCACAAGGTATTGCTGAGAAGTAAGAGAAACAGCATCTTCCTGACAGCATTTGAGTTCTGGATCAAACCATGCTTGAACCTTCGTGGACTTTTCAGTTGCACGAGTTAGCAAATCCCCCACTGTCTTAAGCCAGCCCAAGTCAGACTTTCTCATCACTTACAGGCAAAAACAGACCTGACTGATAAACCCATTTTCTGGCATCAAGGCCCTTGTATAATTAACCAAATTAATAAAATGAAGCCTGCTTCAATCAGCACAGATTCAGAGCAAAAAAACAAACAAACAAAAAAAAAAAAAACTAGATCATGTTTCCAGATATATGACTCGGGTTTTAGGACATCTCTACCCTACTTTAAGTATTGTAGGGGGAAAGATCCTCCAGAATCAGAAGTGCTCAGTTTAAATCCTAGCTCTCCCACCTACTTCCTACCTGTGTGACCTTAGGTAAGTCACTAAACCTCTCTGAGATTCTATTTCTTCGAACGTCTGAGATAAAGCACATAAAGCACTAGGTACGCAGTAGGTGCTCAATAAATGCACCCCCCCCCCAACACACACACACACACACGATATGGTTCAGCCCATTCAGATTTGCTTAATTAGAGGTACATGAAGAAGACCTATGGGGACAAAGAGGAAGGCCATCTGGGCTCCTGAGAATTCACCCACAGTAGGTGCTGCTCCCGTCTTCCGGTCTTATTCTGGAAGCAGGATAGTGTGGTAGAAAGGAGCAAGTGCTTTGGAGTCAGAGAACCGGGGCTGAAATCCTACCTCCATTCTGTGATCTTAGGCAAGTTGCCCAATCTCTCTGAGCCTTGTTCTTCCATCATTAGTAAAAAAGAGAGGGTTTTGCCTACCTCTTAAGGGGATACAAGAATCAAAGTGCGATGCTGTGCACACAGAACCCAGCACACTGTTCAACAAACAAGTGTAATTATTTTCCCAGGCCCCAGCCAGCGATCTTCCTCAAGGGTTCATCCTCAAGGTTCTCCTGCATCCCGGCTCCCTGAGCTCAGCCATGCCCACGACTTGACGAGATCAACTCCTTGACTTCTCTGATGACAAAGCCCCCAGGGTCCAGCCCTGACCTCACTCCAGAGTTCAGACACATCTCCGCCAGGGTGTCCTTCAGGTCCCCTAAACCCAGCATCAGCTCTTGGCTCTTCCACTACTCTCTGGGGGATTTGGGTAAGTCACCCTGGCCTTGGTTTCTTCATCTATAACATGATGTCATTTGTAGAAGTTTGTAGCCGATCACCACGGAGGCTGTCCCAGCCCTAACATCCTAGGATTCAACACCACTTACTCTATCATCCCTTCGACTGAGCACTACCTCCTCCCTACACTCCCTGCCTTCAAAGTCAACACCTTCCTTCTTCAGCAAACCCCACCTTGAATATTTAGGGTCAGCTTGGATTTGTCCCTCTTGTTCATGCCACAGCCCCAATTCTGGAAGCTTCTCTCCAAGAGGTGCTCCCCTATCTGCACACTCCTTCCTGTTGCCACCACCAGCAACCTAGCTCAGGCCCCAGCACCACACCTCAAGGAGGCCCCAGTCCCAGCTTCCCCCATGCAGCCTGCCCTCGGCCCTTTCTATCCATGGAGCTTCCAAACAGCCTTTGCATGGAGCCTGGGATTCCTCGTGTCACTGTGAAGAACTAGACCCCACCATTGACAATCTTCGTGCCCTGGAGATTCTTTTCAGGTTAGGGATGAGGAGAGGAACATTTCATGGTGGTCAGATTAGATATTCACTACGTATTTATTGAATTCATTTGGTCATTCATGCTTCTCAAAACACATCCCTCAGCTGGTCCTCTCCAATCCAAAACAGACAATGTCAGAGATCTCTTTGCAAATCATGAAGGGCTTGGGCCTTTGTGCCTCAATGTCACACGCATACAATTTCAGGGGGTCCATCTTCCCCTCGCCCTAGACCATCTATAGGGCACAGTTTACCTCTGATTGAGCTCATGTTACAGGTGGAAAGACTGAGAAAGAGAGAGGAAGGGACTTGTCTGAGAATATGCGGAACATTTCCTTCTACCAGGCACTAGATCCTCGCACAAAAGTGCTGAGTCCGCTCCCAACCCCAGGCCCGTGGCTTTGAGCAGCAGGTCACTTAACATCTAACGTCTTTATGCTGTTTCCTCATCTGTGCGAGAGCAGCTATGTCTACCTGGCAAGGCTGTAGTGAGAGATCATATCAGCATAGGAATGGGGCTCAGCCCCATGCACAGAGGACAGTTCTTGTTTCATTCTTTTCCTTGCTGTTTCTCTTCCTTTCCTGGCAGAATATGGAGGAAGGAAGCATCGCTGCCATCTACAGTGGTCACGGAAGGCTTCATGGAAGAGGCGAGCCCTGCCTGGGCCTCAATTTTGGGTGCTGGAGGGAAGCAGGGGCCAAGAGTTATTAATAGTCTTGGCCTGATGGGCCCAGGGAGGCTGAATGTGATACAGACACCCAGCACCACGGTTGGGGAGTACCTGACACCGGAAGGGGAGGGGGCCGGGGCTACGGGGAGTGCCACCTCCCAAAATAGCCAGAGCAGAAGCCTATATAGGTGGCCATCCCACCTCCAGGCTCACTTCCCGACAGGACTTCCCACCAGCCCAGCCTTTCAGTGCAGGCTCCAGCCCTCCACCCCCACCCGAGGTGAGTGGCAGCTACCGAGGTTGGAGGATAGAGGGATGCAGCAGGATGAGCCAGCTGGAAGGGAGAGCTACATCTCCCCTGTCCGTAGTGACCCGGGGAGGGGGGTGCGGTGGGGGTGCTGGAGGCAGGGCAGCTGTGGAATGTAGGGCTGAGAGCATGCATTCCTGCTTCTCCACCCAGACTCCTGGTGTGGCCTGGGGCAAACTCCCCCCACCCACCGCCCCCCGTGGCTGGGCCTCAGATTCCCCAGCCTTAGAACGAGAGGGCTGGAGTCAGACATCTGTGGACTCTGGTGATGCCATCAGAGAGGACCCAGAGGGCAGAGGAGGACTACCCAGGGCTGATGGGCTGACCTAATGACATTGATGCTCTGGCTGGGAGGGCTCAGTCCCGGAGGGGGTGTCAAGTTGATAGGAGAACTCAGCAGCAGGGAGAGATGGAGGAAGGAGATGGAAGAAGAGTGGGCCCCTGTTGAGGCTGCAGCCTTTGCCACAGGGTAGCTGCTTAGGGGCTCACCAGGAGCCAGTGTGTGGCTGAGATGTATGGGACCTGATAGAGCTGGGTCCCAGGCACCAGGGAGGATCACCCAGAGAGTCACTGAACTCCACACGAGTGAGTCCAGGGGTGTACCCTGCTCTGCTATTGCTTTACCATGTGTCCTTAGACCATTCACGGACTCTGTGCCTCCGTTTCTCCACTGGTATAGCTGAAGCGTCCTTCAGCTGGGGAAATCCATTCTCCAACTAGGCTCCTGGAGTGAGCTGAGCCTGGGAGTTGAAATGATAGCATAGGAGCCTGGCATATCTGAGTCAGCAGCCCAGCTGGGGACAAGGTGCAGAGGTGACGGCAGTAGCAGCAGGGTCCAGGGCAGCTGAGGGGTCCTGGGAAGTCCTGGAGCTGAGAGGCATCAGGTCAGGAGCTGCATCCTTGGTGCCTTGGAAGCCATCTGGCGGGCTGTGGCTTGAAGGAGCTGACTCACAGGGAGGGGGCAGCTGGAGCCAGCAGAGGTATCCTAAGGTTTCCAGGAAGGGCAGCCATCCAGGGCTGAGCTGCAGGAGACAATGTTGACAGCGATGTCAGGGAACTTGAGTTACTGGGCAGCTGGACAGCTGCTCTCCCTGGTCCCCACCACCCAGGGCCACCACAGCCCAAGGCCCTGCCTACCTGCCAATACCTTAAGTTGCAGTCCCCAGGTCCCACTACATGGGACCACTGACGTCATCAACACATCAGAAGGAGACAGAAGCCCAGAGAAGGTCACAACCCAAGGTCACACTGGGACTTAGTGCAGCCCAGGATCTAGAACCCAGGCCTCCTGACTCCCTGTCCAGCGCTCACACACTCTAGAAGCAGCTGGTTGCAGCTTGAAACCTTGGGAACCATGGGGAAGAACACAACGGGTCTCTGGCTGCATACAGATAGGCACCGTGACATTTTTCCAGAGGTGAAGTTCAGACCCCTACACCTGCTTAGGTTGTCTAGAAAGTGTGGTCTGAAGGTGCTACCCTTCTTCCAAACACATATGGGGCTTTCTGGGAGGGAGCATAGCAATTCCAAGCGGACTCTCCCACCCTACTCTGCCCAAAAAAGGTTTATAGGAGTAGGGGGAGTCTGGACCCATGATGCCAGGACCCAGGAGACCAGGAAAGCAAGTAGTTAGTAGAGATCTGAGAAGTGTTCTTCGAAAAATCAAGCCAGCAAAAAAATAAAAAATAAAAGTAAAACATCAAATCAGGTTTTAGAATATGCATCCCTGGCCAGATGTGGGATGGGGCACCCGAAGTGGGCCCCAGCAGCTCCTGCCTGTCCCTGTCCCTGTCCCTGCCACCTCCTCCCTGCGTCGGGTGGGTCAGGTTTCAGGACCTCAGCGCTCAGATTTTGCAGCATAAATTTGCATCCAGGACAGACCAGAGCAGAGGCTGAGGTAGGAGTGGAGAGAGAAAGGGAGCAGGGCCTAGGAGGTCCTGAGGTGCAGGCTGGCCGCTGAAGGTTCAGGATCTTCCCCCACGCGGCAGGACATCCGCCAAGGTTCCCAGATCTGAGACGGCGCACCTCCTGCGTGTCCTTGACGGCAGGTGGACTTTCCAGACCCAGCTGGTGACGCCAGTGCCCCCTAAATCCCAGAGGTGGCCCCTTCCCTCGTGCCCTGGCCGCAGCCCCTGGGATCCCGCGGACCCCTGGCCTGGCGGTGCAGGAGTGGTAGCAGGTCCGCGCGCCTTCTTGCCGGCGGCCGGCGCTGCTCAGCGGCGCGGCTGGACTGAGCCGCTCCCGCTGCGCTCAGAGTCCGGGCCCCTGGCGCCATGCCAGGCCCGGCGGGCGTGCGCCCGGCGCGCAGCACTGCAGCGCTGGTCATATGAGCAGAAATGATGAGAAAAGCACTTTTTAATCTTTTCGCACTTGCTCTGCCCGCTCAAACAGTTGCAGGATGTCGATGACAGACTTGCTGAACGCTGAGGACATCAAGAAGGCGGTGGGAGCCTTTAGCGGTGAGCAAGCGCGCTCCCCTCCCCATCCCTCTCCCCTCGTCCACCGCCCGCGCCCCTGCACTCCGCCGGCCCCGCAGCCGGCGGATCCTCCCCAGCGCGCTTCTGCCCACACTTCCCGCTGGGCGCCGGCGAGGTCGGGGCGGGGGCGTCCTTGGCAGTTCCCAAACTCTGTCCGGGCGAGGCTTGGCGCGGGGAGCGGGCGGGGAAGAGGGCGCCCCGCCTAAGTTACAGAAACTTGAGGGTGCTGAAGGCCCGGTGGCTGGGAGGACTCAGGGTCCGGGACCAAGGGCGAAGACCAGGGTCGGAGGAGAGACCTCCAGGGTCCTTGTACGAGCTCTCTGGACGTCCTCTTTAAGGCACTTAGAGGGGACTGCAGGGGGCATCCTCCTCTCCAAGAGACCCCTTTCCTGGACCCTCATTCTGGACAGGACTTTTCCCGCCAGGCGGTAGCCTTTGTTGGCCCCCTGACTGTCCTAGTTCCTTTACTGAGATTCAGCAACGGACCTGCGGGCGAGGTGACCTTCTGGAGCCGGCGCACAGCTCTGCCTAAGCCCGCACGGGGCATCCTCAGTGCCTCAAACCTCCAGCCTCCTTAGGCGGGCAGGGGAGGGGAACTGGCAGTCTCACCTCTCCCAGCTGCCCGGGACTTCAGCGCTAAGCTGCCCGCCTTCCTCCTCCCCTGTCCTCCAGATGGGGAAATCAGGGAACTGTCTTGGAGAGGACAAGACATTTGCCCAAGGTCACCTAGCTGGGCAGAAGGGGTATTAGAACTGGGTTGCCCAGCCTAGTGTCGGAGGTGGACAGGGCAACTTTCCTTGTCTCTAGCCCTGTGCTGAGGGGAAGAGAACATGACTTCAACAGCCATTCCCTACACACACACACACACACACACACACACAAAATACATGATCTAACATTGTACCCTTCCCCAGGTGTTCTAAAACAGGACCCCAAGATACAGAAAATTGCAGGTAGAAAAGGACCCCCATTTCCTTTCTGCTTTGCACCCCCTCCCCTGGGCACAAGAACCTCTCTGGGAAGCCACCCTCCCAGGGTCCTGGGATAACCCTCTCCCTTCACCTCAAGCCCATGTGGGAAGAAACTTAACTGGGTGTTTCTCGGGAGCCTCCTAACACCCCCTTCCCACTGCCTCCGAAGTGGATTTCTGCGCAGAGCCAGGACTTCCGGGTTTGCCCCTCCTCCTCCCACTGTATGACCTTGAGGGAAACCTGTCCTTTCTATGTCAATTTTCTGGCAACAAAGTCTGTGGCCAAGAAAGAAGGTCAACCCTCCTCCCCCTAACCCCAGGACCATGTTCATGCCCCCTTCAATTCCCCAGCCCACTCCCAACCAGCTGGCACTCAAAAGTCTTCCTGGGCACAAGGTTCTCAGAAGAACAAAAGCCTTTGGTTCTTAGGTGCTGCTCCCATCATCAGCAATGGGTGCAGTGGAGGTGGGGCGTGGGGGCGGGCTTGAGAGCCAGGGAGGTCTGGGTTTGAGCACACCTCTTCCACTCCCAGCCTTGTGACCTTGGACAGGTTATCCTCCCTTGCCCGGGCTCCCTCAGCCCTCCAATGGAGGTGGGTACCTCTCATTCCCCATGACTGGCATGTGGGAATCCATCAACAAATGCCTTGATGCCCCCCATTCTCCCAGGCTTCCCTACCAGCCTTTCTGGTCCTTGTTTGACCCTGCTCTTCCCCCCACAGCTACCGACTCCTTCGACCACAAAAAGTTCTTCCAAATGGTCGGCCTGAAGAAAAAGAGTGCGGATGATGTGAAGAAGGTGTTTCACATGCTGGACAAGGACAAAAGTGGCTTCATCGAGGAGGATGAGCTGGGGTAAGCGGAGGCCTGCAGGGGCTGCCCAGCCCACGGCTGCACGAGAGGGAGTGGGGGCTGGGACTCTAGCTTCCAAGTGTCCATCAGACCTGCCTTTCACTCTGCCTGCTTCACAGAAAGTAACCGTGCGTGAAGGCAGGGCTCCGACCCAGGGCACCAGGGGAGAAGGCTTCCTGGTGCTATTGCTTCGGAAGAGTAAAACCCTCAGCTGAAAGTGCAACTAACTAGGTTAAATGATAGCCACTTAATATTGCTAATGGAATGTTGCTACTTAATAATTTAATGCAAATGAAGAGGCAGTTTTCTTGCTGCCTAACACCATAGGCAGGGCAGAAAGCATTCACTTGAGTATTTCATTGATTTTCATTTGTCTAAAAGACACTTTCCACCTTCCTGCAGCCCCCAGCCCTCTGGTACTAGTGTGGCTGGTGCAATTTCTAGGCAAGCCAGGGATGCAGAACCACCTCTGAGAGTCCAGGGGTCCTTGGAGAAAAGCAGAGAAGGAGAAGGCTGTGGCTAGGAAAATGCATGCCTCCATCTGCAAAAGCATCTCCCACCATAATTCCCTCAGCCACCCGGCCATGTCTACTGACTCAGGTTGCCTTATGTCACTTTCTGGCCAAGAAAGCCTTGAGTTTTGTCAAAAAGAGAAGCGGGGGGTGGGTGTAGGGAGAGGCCTTTCAAGTAGGGACTTCCCCACCCATCCTGTCTCTCCCCTAAACCATCTCACAAGGGTACCTTCTGTCTAGAATCTTCACGTTCTACCCACTTACATCCAACATGCATGCACACTTATGCACACACACACACACACACACACACACACACACACACTCACAGAGGCTGACTTCCCCCTGTCCTCCAGGTATCACCTTCACCAGGAAGCCTCCCCTCTCCTCCCCTCACCGCAGGTGGGCAGATACAGCTTCTGAGTGCCCTCCTCCACGGCCCATCACACTGTGTGGTCTCTCTCGGAGCCCGTGACCTCCTTATTTTTTCCAGTGCCTTCCGAAGATCACCACTGTGACCCCACTTTCCAGCATACGCCAGACACAGAAATGACACTTAGTGAATACTTGTTGGATAAATTAACGAATGTAGGTGCCCTCCCTGAAGTGAGGACAACCCTTCACTGAGGACAGCCTGTCCTTTCCTAAATACTCACCCACGAAAGCACAGCCACCGAGCAGGCTACCTGGCCCAGAGCATCCGTGTGCGTGACTGCTGCTCGCTGCCTGTCCCAGCCATCCCTTTCCCCATACAGAAACCAGACCACCCTCCATCCAGCGTCCTGCAAGGCGACCTCGGCCTGACTCCCTCACCGGCTTTCTCCCTTTTCTCCTCCAGATTCATCCTAAAAGGCTTCTCCCCAGATGCCAGAGACCTGTCTGCTAAAGAAACCAAGATGCTGATGGCTGCTGGAGACAAAGATGGGGACGGCAAAATTGGGGTTGACGGTGGGTAGCCGTGACCTGGGGTCTGGGCATATTGTGGATCTTGGGGTGTTGGATGCGAAAAGTTTGAAGCTATGTCTGTCACAAGGAAGGGATGATATGGGGGTCCCTCACTCCCCCAGATTAGAAGACAAAAAGCAGTCCATTAGGTCTGAGAGCTCTGCCACATACTCCAGACAAAGGAAAACTGGTGTATTTTCCTAATTTGAAAACCTAAAAGGAATAGATTCTGTTTTTCCTGCTGGGTAGGGGATCCAGGAGGATTTGGGATTTTTTTTTCCTGAACTCTGCCTGCATTTTTGCATGGATACTGGCCCAACCTCTGCCCAAACTGGCTGTGTGACCTTGGGCAGTGTCTCTCGATCGCTGGGCCTCTGTCTCCCATCTCTAATCCAACGAAATGAGGCCGACTAATCCCCAAGGATCCTCTGCCTCTCACATCCTCAGATTCCAGGGATGGAAATTCCTATCTCCTGTCCTCCTCAGCATCTTGTCCTGGTGTCCTGTAACCCCAAGTCTCAAAACCTGTTTGGGTTTTACTCAAATATACTATTCTAGCCTTGCAGCAGAGCCAGGAAAAACAGTAAACCAGAAATCAGTGGGGAATTCAGACAGGGAATACCTGGCCCTGCCTTGCTTTGCAGGCTTCAATGTCAGCACAGGTGAGAGACCAGTGGCCCACCGTCCACTCCTTTCTCCATTTGGCTCTGTGTGGCATTCATGGAGCACACCCACATTGCTATCTCTCTTAGCTTATGATTTTCTCCGGAATTATCTCCATTTTGCAGGTGGGCAAATGGACTTTGAAGGTGCTTAGCCTAGTTGAAAGAGCTAGGACATAGCGGTGGAGTGGGGATTTAGAACCAGGCCTGAATGAGTGTTTGCAACATACTAAGCTGCCATTTGTTCCCATAATAGGCTTTTCTGCTGGTCTCAGAGAAAACTGTGTGTAGGTGTTTGGCCTCTGGGCCCCAGGCTATCTGGGTTCAAATCCCAGCCCTACCACTTTCGAGCTGTGTGACCTTGCGTAATTTGATAACTACTCTGAGCCTCTGTTTTCTCATCTCTGAACTGAATAGAATGATAATTCTTACAGGGTGATTACAAGGGTTAGATGTGTTAATATGTAAAGTGCCTAGAACAGTGTCTGGCACAGAGTAAATGTTATATATGTATTTGTTAGCTAATTTTTTTAAAACTAGGTCCCTTCGCAAGGGTACCTTCTGTCTAGAATCTTCACGTTCTACCCACTTACATCCAACATATAAGTGGATGTAAAACTTAAAACTAGGGATTGGGTTGCATTCATCCTTCTAGCCCCAGTATCTAGCCAATACCCCACACAGAGCAGGTGCTTCATAAACATCCGCTGCCTGAGTGTAAAGCCCAGACCCCCATGCTCTGCTCCTTCTCTGCCCCTTGCCAGCTGTGACCTTGAACACGTCACCTCTGCACACCTACGTTCCCTTGCCCGGCAAATGGGGTGCATCAGCTTCTCCTAAGACCTATTTGGGCTTGTTGTGAAAATTAAGATTCTGTGAACCCAAAATTGCTTTGGGAAAGGTACAAGGATTATGAAAGTAGGTGTATGCCTATGAGTTAGAGGGTTTTTTTTGTTGTTGTTGTTGTTGATTTCTTTTCTGTTTGTTTGTTTCCTGCCAGTAACGAGAATGGAGAATCCCTATCCAGGTCAAATGCAGGGGGTCCCCTGGCCATCTGATGCCAGCTGCCCTTCTTGTGGCTGGGAAGGAGGGAGGTGGTTTTAAAGGAGTGGAGCAGAGGGTATTGGAAAGGCATCATTGGCTTGGCCGCTCCTGGGGCTTCTGGTGCTTGGCAGATCCTCCCTCACACCCCCATCCCCACCAATCTGCTTATCAGACAGCTCCACCCCAAGGCCTGGCTCCCATCTGAACCCTGACCCTGGCCTCCAGACCTGCCTTCCATTTTTATTTGCAGCCAATATGCCATACCTCAGAAGCCCTGGGCTGGGTCTTCATGGCTGACTGCTCACAGAAAACCTACCTGATGAAGAGAAACCAGCCAAACCTGGCCCAGTTCCCTGCCTCCCTCCCTCCCTCCCTGCCACACTCAGATCTTAAGGCATCAACTAAACTCTTCTAACAGATCCAGCAGATGTTGACTGAGTAGCAACTCTGTGCCCGGCAATGGAAGAGGTAAAAATAATTCAGGCCCATTTCCTGACTGGGTGCCCCTGAGCAGCTACTCCTTAGCCCTGAGCCCCAGCTTCCTCATCTGTAAACTAGGCATTATAACATGGAAATGTGGCCTGTAGTGCCCAGCACATAACAAATGCTCAATAAATGGCCACTGCAATGCCTTATTTATTTATTTATTTATTTATTTATTTATTTAGAGACAGTCTCTCTCTGTCACCCAGGCTGGAGTGCAGTGGTGTAATCTCAGCTCTCTGCAACCTCTGCCTCCTGGGTTTAAGCAATTCCCCCCTCCCCCAGCCTCCTGAGTAGCTGGGATTACAGGCACGCACCACCATCCCCAGCTAATTTTTGTATTTTTAGTAGAGACGAGGTTTCACCATGTTGGCCAGGCTGGTCTCGAACTCCTGACCTCAAGTCATCCGCCCACCTCAGCCTCCCAAAGTGCTGGGGTTACAGGCATGAGCCACTGCACCCGGCCATGCAATGTCATTTTTATTGTCTGCAAATTGCTTGCAGCTCTACACATATACACAAACAAGCGATAGTGCCAGCCAGAGGCAGAGGCGCAGGCATCAGGCATTTTGTACGGACTTGGAGGCTAAGCCACAGGCTGTAGGGGACAGAGGGAGTGGGGTCCAGGCAAGGTATTGGCATCAGCCAAGGCTGGAAACTTTTGGGTATGTTCAGAAAGGGGCAAGAAGATTGTTTTGCCAAGAATGGGAGGAAAGAATTATTAGCTGGGCATGTCATGTGTGTCCAGCCTAGTGCTGGGTTTGGTTACCTCATTTGACCTTGGGACAACAGAGGACATAAGTGCAGATGTAGAAAGGGCAGCCCAGGGAGTGAGTGCAAGGTCACAATGCCAGCAAGTGTCAGGGCCAGGATTCAAACCCAACAGCATGGTCCAGGCCCACCTGTGCAGCCTCCATTGAGCTCATAGGCAAGACATAAAATAGACAATGAGCACAGACCACCCTGAGGCACTGGGGCCCCACACTTCATGCTTTTGAGGTGGGAAGATGCAGATGCCCCCTTCCTCACTCCCAACCCCCTAACGCAGGAAGGGTGGGTGCAATGATGCCCAATAGGCAGCGAGATGGGAAGCAGAGCCTTTTTGGGGCCCAGGACGTTCTGTTTCAGATACTCTGCTTTGCTGTCACTCTCTCTAAAGGCCAGAAGGCCCGAGCCCCACCTATAGCTGGAAGATGCCTTCAACTCCTGGCGGGATCTGGGGCATGTCCCAGAGCCCCTCTGACCATAAAGTGCCTTGTCTTTAAAACCATGGGGCATGCCGGGCGCAGTGGCTCATGCCTGTAATCCCAGCACTTTGGGAGTCCAAGGCGGGCAGATCACAAGGTCAGGAGTTCGAGACCAGCCTGGCCAACATGGTGAAACCCCACCTCTACTAAAAATACAAAAATTAGCCAGGCGTGGTGGCACACACCTGTAATCCCAGCTACTCAAGAGGCTGAGGCAGGAGAATCACTTGAACCCAGGAGGCGGAGGTTGCAGTGAGCCAAGATCACACCACTGCACTCCAGCCTGGACAGCAGAGCTAGACTCCATCTCAAAAACAAAACAAAACAAAACGAAAAACCAAAAAAAAAAAAAAAAAACATGGGACATGGGGCAGATCACTAGCCAATTACTGGGGTGCGTTCCAGCCCCGGGATTTCACAGATGTCTCAGTGGATAAACCTCTACACAGAAGACCACTTCACTATTTTGGCTCAGCTGCGTGACCTTGAGTGATGATGGCAATAGCATCTAAGTTCATAGAGCGCTCAATATGTGCCAGGCACCGTGCTTAGCATTTCACTCATTTAATCTTCCTAGCTATCTCTGAAGTGTATACTATTATGATTCCCATTTTATAGATGAGCACACTGAGGCTCAGAGAGGCTAAGGGCTTGCATAAACCCTTTAGGCTAGGAAGAGAAAAGATCAAAGTCTGAAAGTCGGGTCTTTTGAGCTCCGAAGCACGTGACCTGTGCTGCCTGCTTCATTCATTCATTCATTCATTCATAGTTTAATTTACTATAAGATGATTATATTTATTGACTTATTGCCTATTTCTTTCTCCTCCACTAAGATGTCAGGTCCACTGAGCAGGAACTTTGTTTTTTTCAGTTCTAATCCCAGCACCTAGAATAGGGCCTGGCCCATAGTGGGAGAAAAAGAAAAGTGTATTTGGTTGAATGAATGAATGAATGAATGAACAAGTACCCAGCTCTGGGCAGCACTGTGCAGTGATGAGGATCATAACTGCTGTATGTAGTGGGAGATGATCTGCAAGCCAAGGTTGGGGATCTGTGGAGACTTGTCTGTAGCAGGTGCCAGGGAGCCCAAACCAGGGACTGCCTCTCTTCCCTGCTCTGTTTGTCCTTCTGAAGGTGAGTGATACTTATCAGTTTCTTGAAGATCCTGTATTGAAGGGAGGGGGTAGGAAGACAAAGTTCTAATAATAACCCTTTGCATTCCCGTCTCTGGGGCAACTACTTCCAGGAAGCTCAAAGGCTTTTATAGATGTGGTTGATTCATTCTCAAAGGCCACCCTAAAAGGCTGGTGCAGAGCTGACATGGGGAGGGCTTAAGGCTGAAAAGGAAAGAGAAGCTAGAAAAAGAGGTGAAGGGTGCCAAAAAAAAATCTTTGTTAAAGCACCTGCAGTTGCAAAGCCCAGGCATAAAAAGCAGACAAAGCAGACTATGTGGCAGGTGGCTTTTCAAACACTTCACCTTCACAACAGGTCTCCAGCTGGGAGCGGGTGTCAGCATCACCTGGAGGGCCTATGGCAACACAGATGGCTGTGCCAGACCCCAGGAGTTTCTGATTCCTTAGGTGGAGCCCACACTTTTGCATTTCTTACAAGTTAGCAGATGGTGCTAATGATCTGGCGAACCACACTTAGAAGACCACTGCCTTACAATAATCCTAGGAAGTAGATGCCGTCACTATCCCCATTTTGCAAGTGGAGAAACTGAGGCATCGTGAGAAGTGACATGCCCAGGGTCTCTCTGTAGCAGAGCTAGAACTGAGGCTCGGTGGTCCAGCCAGGACCCTCTGCCATCCTGCCTCACACGAGCATGTGTCCCCAGCCTGGGCCTTCCAAACTCAATGCCTGCCCCCGCAGAGTGTGTTGACCAACAGGAATCGAGGTTAGCATTCATCCCCACTTCCTGTGTGCCAAGTACAGCACACAGGCCTTACATCTTTTAACTCATTCAAACCTCCCAACAGCTCTACAAGATATTTTTGTTACTGATACATACAAGGAATCTGAGGCCCCGGGAAGCAGAGCGACTTGCTGTGAAGCCTCAGGGCCCTCTTCAAACCTTGACTCCTAATATCTTGCTGCAGAGAAGATCCGCATGCCCCGTGTGCACACGTGCCTGCACGCAGTCCTAGTTACATTCTTCCTGAAACCCATTCCCGGCGATGGATCCACTGCCCTCTGCTTTAAGTGTGTCTCAACTCAAGAGTTTGGGGTTTGCATTTTGCTTCTGTTGCTGAAACATGTAGTCATCATTATTGCCTAACCTTGCAACCCCCCCACCCCTTGCCACTCACTCGCATGCCTGAAGGAATTTGCCTTTTCTGCTTCCCTCTGGCAAAATCTGTTCCCTTTTATCCTTAAGTAGCCTATTTACCGTGAGAGGCGTGAGAGGCGGAGTGGTAGCGTAAGGCCTTGGGCTGTGGTGGAGCACCTGAGTCAGGCAGAAATTAGAAAGCCAAATGCTGGGGATCAGCCGTGGGAATGGCTGTATCTTTTCCTCTCTCAGGACATCCATTCCCACACCTGGAAAGTGGGGAGAAAAATACACACCTTACAGGGCTGTTGCTCGAATGAAGAGAATGTTCTAGAAATGATTCCTTTCCTCTTATTTTATGGGAATGTTTTGCTCGTAAGCCACCCAAAACCTTTTAAAAGTGGTGGAATCTCAATCCTCAACAGAAAGGAAATTGAGTCTAAAGCAGGAGAAAAGTGAGAGAGATAGAAGGAGAATTTGCCGTTCTCCCTGTAATTCTAGCCCTCCGGCCTCTATGGGGATTTGATTTCTAAGTAGGACAGGATGCTCAGATCAAGGCTAGCCCAGGGTTTTGAGGGCAGAGCCCTAAGGTGCACGATGCTTTGTCCCATCTCATTGCACCCTGGTACCAGCTCAATGAGGTTTAGGGGACACTGTGATGCCCACTGAGAGACTTGAAAACTGAGGCCCCGTAGACAGTAAGTGCCAAAGTCACATAGAAGTCCTTGGCCCAACGGGACCCGGGTCTCCTGACTCCACCACTCCCTCCCCTAAGCTGAGCTGAGACGTTTTAGTTATAAATGGCTTCTGTGCTTAGCAATCTGCTCTTTTTATTCCCGTGTGGACTTTCCCTAGCTCTGGCCTTATGCTGCACTAGAAAAGATTTAGCAAGGGGAGAGGAAGCAGCCTTCCTTACATAACTGGCCTCTTGTGAAAGGGAGCAGCTGCTTGGTGGAAAAAGACATTCCCCTCCATGCATCCCTCTCCTTCTGCCTCTGGGGGTTGCAGCTTGAGTCAGAACCAGGACCATTTAACTCCAACCTTTGAGGAAGAGACGCACCCTGGCCCCAGCCACGCCTGTTAGAATCTTCCTAGCTGAGTGACACAGTGACACTCAGCCTCAGTTTCTCTGTAAACAAAATGAAGATAAGAGAGCCGACGAGGATGAAATGGAATAACACACCGTGCGGTGCCTGGTACAGAGTGAGCCCCAGAACTGTTGACGCGGCCTCCTTGTGGCTGTCTGGCTTGACCCGGAGTGACTCTGCCTCCCAGTTCTCCGGGATGGGAAGGTGATCCCTGTTTGAGATACCAATTTATAAGAAACCGAGCCCGGGAGCTATTTAGAGGTGAGGTGATAAACCAGGAGGCCGGCTCCTTCATCCCGGTCATCACGACAGAGGGAGGGAAAGAGCCTTCCAGCCGCTGACTCAATGGCCGGCTCAGTTTCGCTTTGGGCCATCAGCGTGTGTTGCTCTCACCTGTCAATAGCTTCTAAATTTGTCCAATCCCCGCGGCCTTGGACTGGGACAGACCTAATTAGGCTAATTTCAGTTTCCTAAGGGAAAGAAAAGAACAGAATCCTCTAGTCCTCTGATCCTCCCTCTGCTGCCTCCTTCCCACCCCCATCCCTACCATCTACCTCCTTTGTCGCTTTCTGGTTGGACAATGATGACATCTGCAAGCTGGCCCCAGAGGGTCTTGGGCGAGGATTTAGACTGCAAAAGTACTGCTGTCCTTTCATGTCTTAGAAGAGAATGACCATTCTGGATACCTCCAAAGGAAGACTGTCTCTTCTACCTGTCAACATTAAGAGTTGATTTAGTCGCATTCCCACTGTGTGCCAGGCACTGTGCTGGGCACTCCTTCTCCATTATCTTATGGAGCCCTTACCATAACCCTATAAGGAGATAGTCCCAGTATCCCCATTTTATAGATGAGGAAACTGAGGATCAGGAACTAAGTTGCCACGGATGGATGTGCCGGAGGTGGGATGCTAGCTCTGATGGGATAGATGGGTCGGAAACTTGTACCAGGTCAGCTGGCTGCTCTTTAGGCTTTCCGTGCCCTCTGTTTATATCTTCCTTGTCTTGCTTAGTTTCAGGACTTTCGTAGTTAATGTTATGTCAAAGCTCCAACCTGTGTCTGTTGTGCTGGGGAGATCCACACGGGAGGCGGAACTAACACTTATAAACCAGTTACTGTGTGCCAGGCGTACTACCCCATCTGGTCTTTCTAATAGCCATCCAAACAGGCATTATTATACCCACTTTACAAATGAGAAAGCTGAGCCTCAGAGAGCTAAAGTAGTGACTGATGGCCACCTAGCCAGATAGTGATGGAACAAGATTCAGATGTAGGTCCAGGGTTGCTGGATGATTGTAGGTAGGTGCCAGGGCGGAGGCAGGAAATGCTGGGATCATGGAGACAAACAATGGCAACAAGAACAACGATGATGCTAACAAATACCAGTTACAATACCATTTAGAGCCTCCTGCTTCTGCCGGGCAGCAACTAGGCGTTTATAGGCTTGGTTTTAAAGTGGCTTGAAGTACAGAAACACCTTGGTTGCAACACCACCAGATACCGAGAGCTTGCTATGCATCAGGCCTGTGACCGAGAGCTTTAGTGCTGGCTCCTCTGAACAACTTAAGGAAGTGGGCACTATCATGAGCTCCATTTGACAGGTGAGGTGAAGCATCTAGTCGAAGGTCACAGGAACAAGAAATGGGAGCTGGGAGTTACCCCCAGCTTGCTTGCTCCAAACACCGTGTGACAGCTGGAAAGGCGTCTTCTAGACCCAACACTCACTCATAAGAAAAGCAAGACCAGGGAGGATGAGGCATCTTGTCCAGGGACAGCAGCAGATGGCAAAGCCAAGACTAGAACCCGACCATTCAAAGCTACATTCCCCATCCTGGGATCCTACCTACCACCAATTCAGCTGACCTAGAGTTTACAGGATCTTTGTGTAGTCTTTGTTTGTTTGTTTGTTTGTTCGTTTGTTTTTGAGACAGAGTCTTGCTCTGTCACCCAGGCTGGAGTGCAGTGGTGTGATCTTAGCTCACTGCAATCTCCACCTCCCGGGTTCAAGCTAGTCTCCTGCCTCAGCCTACTGAGTACCTGGGATTACAGGCGCGCGCCACCACTCCCGGCTGACTTTTGTATTTTTAGTAGAGACGAGGTTTCACCATGTTGATCAGGCTGGTCTCGAACTCCTGACCTTGTGATCTGCCCACCTCAGCCTCCCAAAGTGCTGTGATTACAGGCATGAGCCACTGCACCCAGCCAGTCATTTGTTTTTCTTTAAGGAGAGACCTGGGCATTTTAGAGGAAGGGTTTGGCTAGGAGACCTGTTCGTTAATTGGCTGGCTCCTAAGAGCTCAGCCCTGAGGCAGATAGGAAAGGCACGGAAGGGGTGGCTCCTGCCCTCAATTTATCTACAAAGTCCCCTATTGAAGGTTCTGAGGGGATAAAATTAGAATTCCGTGTTCTCTGCCGAAGGCCAGCGCATGTGGCTACTGTGATGTCCTGGCTGCTTGAGAACAGATTGCAGGGTGGGCAGAGGGGCTGATTTAAGAGGCTTTCAAAAACCCCACAGCTCCAAAGTACCTCCCAAAGTCTGGCTCCAAAATGTCTGACTTTCCGTCACCGGAGAGTCCCTCATTGGTGTCCCTGGGTCCCCGTCACACCAGCTGCACCAAATCCCGTCTAGTGTGAAGGTGACCAACGGGCTATTTACCGATGAGCAGCCTGAGAGCCCATAATTTCCAGAGTGAGGATGAAGGGGTCAGGGCAGGCTGGAAAACAGAGAGGACCAGCTTCCCCTCTTGACAATCTCTCCATGAGCAGGCGGTGATGGACAGGCTCATGCATCCTTTATCCCAGGACAGAGAAACTCAGTGCCCCCAAACAGGGAATGCCAGTGCTGGATGAAATGACAGGTTGAAGCTGTAGAGGGTTCATGCTTCTGCCTGAGCTGGGACACTAGCCCTCTCAGGAGTAGCCTCTCCACATTCATGTAGCAGGTTCCTGAGGCCAGAGGCCAAGTCCTGGCTCTGCCTCTTGTTTTCCACATGACCCTGACACCTCACCTTCCCAGCCTCCATTTCCCCATCTATAAAATTAGAATCCTCCCAGACTGTCATGTGAATTATATAAAGTAAGTCAGAACTTGTTGATCCCTAAGAAGGACTCGTGAGCTATCCCATCCACCCACCCAACCACCCACCCATCCATCCATCCATCCATCCATCCATCCATCCATCCACCCACCCACCCATCCATCCATTCATCTTTCTCTCCCTTTATCCATCCCTCTATCCATCCATTCCTCATCCCTCCATCCACCCATTCCTCATCCATCCATCCATCCATCTACCCCCCATCCATCCATCCCTCTATCCCTCCCTCCATCTGTCCATCCATCCCTCCATCCATCCACCCAGAGCTTATTTATGAGCACCTACTGTGTGCCAGGAACACTGTGGCTGCCAGGAGAACAGTGAACAAGAGAGAGGCTCCCCTGCCCTCTAGAGTTTGCATTCTAGTAGGGGGAGACTGACAAAAATAAGTGCATAAATAAGATCATTTCAGAGAGTGCCAAGGACTATGAAGTAAATAAAAAAGGACTAATGCGATGGGATGGTGATATTTGAGCTGGGACATGTGTCACTCTATACCAAGGTCAAAGTAGGTCGGAAACTACAGGGATGAAGAAGGAAGCCTAAGAGCATTTCTAGCTTGAATCATGTCATGGTCAAGCTACTTAATTTTTGAGCCTCAGTTTCCCCATCTGTAAAATGCAGACAAAGGTGTCTCTCCCATGGAGTAGTCATGAGGATTCAATGAGATAATATATGCAAAATGCTTCCCACATTGGCATTCGATAAATGTTAGTTACTAGCTATAATTAATAAAAGTACTGCTAATAAAAGACATCTCAAAATAACCACCTGCCCCACCGAGGTCCTGGAAGATCACAGGCTCCTGGCTGAGAAAGCAAGCACTTTGACGCCTGCCCTATGGGAGGGATTCTGTACGAGTATTTGTTGTTTTGGTATTTATTTGAGACTCCATCCTTGGCACTGCTGTTACCACTCAGCCAGAGAGCCTGGAGATTTCAAAACCAGCTGGTGGACCCTCACTCTCTCCCACCCTGCATCCCCCATATCCAGGTCACCCACTTTTCCTATCCTAGGACAGCCTGGGGACAGGAAAGGATGATGTCTATTTCCTAAGTCAAACCTCAGGAAGGTGAGGCACCCAGGTACGTGTCCCTTCATCTAGCCAGGGCCAGTGCCAGGTTGTTTCTTTCTTTTTTTTTTTTTTTTTTTTTTTGTGTGAGATGGAGTCTCACTCTGTTACCAGGCTGGAGTGCAGTGGCACGATCTCGGCTCACTGCAACCTCTGCCTCCTGTGTTCAAGCAATCCTCCTGCCTCTGCTTCCCAAGTAGCTGGGACTACAGGTGTGCGCCACCACGTCCAGCTAATTTTTGTATTTTTAGTAGAGACAGGGTTTCACCGTGTTGGCCAGGATAGTCTCGATCTCTTGACCTCGTGATCCGCCCACCTCAGCCTCCCAAAGTGCTGGGATTACAGGAGCGAGCCACCGTGCCCAGCCCAGTGCCAGGTTATTTCTACAATACAGCATGTGTTGGTTTGGCTTTTGTGTGTGTGTGTTTTCACTTTTTTATTTTGAAATAATTGTAGATATACAGAAGAATTGAAATGATAGTACAGAGAGTCCTGTACACCCTTCACCCAGCTCCCCCGATGTTAATATTTTACATAACCACAGTACAATGATGAAAACTAAGAAACTGGATAGGTGGGGTTTTACATTTGTATTCCACACAAAGTCCAGGGAGGACGCAGCTCACCTCAAATGAGTCTCAGATACTTTTTGTGGCCTTTTTGAAGCCATTTCACGACCAGTTTTTTATTTGTCTCACCCAAGCAATTATTACTGGCCCCTCTCTTCACTCCACTGACAGATGAGGGAACCAAAACCCAGAGAGATACATTTTCCAGCAAATAGGGCCAGACTAAGCCTGGAAGCCCTAACTTTCAATCCCCAGCCTGTGCTCTCCCCACATCACAACACTCCATTTTCTTTTTTCTTTTCTTTTTTTTGTTTGTTTTGAGACAGAGTCTGACTCTATTGCCCAAGCTGGAGTGCGGTGGCACGATCTTGGCTCACTGCAACCTCTGCCTTCTGGGATCAAGCAATTCTCCTGCCTCAGACTTTGGAGTAGCTGGGATTACAGGCGTCCGCCACCACACCCAGCTAATTTTTGCATTTTCAGTAGATACAGGGTTTTACCATGTTGGCCAGGCTGGTCTCAAACTCCTGACCTCAAGTGATTCACCTGCCTCAGCCTCCCAAAGTGCTGGGATTACACGCGTGAGCCACTGTGCCCAGCCAAGACAACACTGCATTTTCTAGGGCGATGGGCACTTGCCTGAGACCCTACACTCCCCAGCAGGCTGAGACATGGCATCTCAGAGACACGTAGTGGCACGTGGCAGCAAACTCCTTGTCCTCTCTCATCTCCTGGGGAGAAAAACAGCAGAGAAGTCCAGAAATCAGGACCCTGAGCCTCAGTTTCTTCATCTGTAGAACAGGAACAATGCCAAAATGCACCAGACAGGACTATTGTCAGAGTCAAATAAGATATTGCATATAAAGTGTTTCGAATAGTGCCTGGCATATGATAAGCATTCAGAAAACTATTATTATTATTATTGCTATTGTTATTAGTGTAGTTATTATTAATGATTTTGGGTGTGGCATGGCATGATGAACCAAAAGATGTGGTAGGCCCATCATTTCCCACCTCACTTCACTCATCTGCTCATTCATTCATTTATTCATTCATTCATTTTCACACTTACGCTCTGGGGCTGCTGCAGCAGAAGCAAGAACCCAGAGAGAGCACCACCCAGGGCCCCGCAGTCAGGTGTGGACAGTCTCTCTTGCATCCCCGCCTCTGACTCACTTTCCTTGTCATTTTGTTCTGCAGAATTCTCCACTCTGGTGGCTGAAAGCTAAGAAGCACTGACTGCCCCTGGTCTTCCACCTCTCTGCCCTGAACACCCAATCTCGGCCCCTCTCGCCACCCTCCTGCATTTCTGTTCAGTTCGTTTATGTTATTTTTTACTCCCCCATCCCCTGTGGCCCTCTAATGACACCATTCTTCTGGAAAATGCTGGAGAAGCAATAAAGGTTGTACCAGTCAGACTCTGCTTGCTCAGGAAGACCCAGGCCTGGTCAGGCATTGGCTTTCCAGATGCATCTGGGCAGGGGGTGGGGGCTGGATTTCAACAGTTAGAAAAGTTGTGATAGGAGGGAATGGAAGGGAACAGTCTCTTTTCTGTTCTAAGTACTAAGCATGGAACTCTACAGAGGTTACCCACTTACTCCCTAAAACCACCCCATAAGGTAGGTGATGAAACTCCCATTCTCTGAAAAACTGAGTCTCAGAGAGGGGATGTGATGTGTCTAAGCCCACAAATACAGGATTTGCTAGTGTTGGGATTTGAATGCAGGTCCGTGGATGGGTAGGTGGATGGATGGATGGATGGATGGATGGATGGATGGATGGATGGATGGGTGGGTGGATGAATGGGTGGGTGGATGGGTGGGTGGATAGATGGATAGATGGATGGGTGAGTAGATGGGTGGGCAGATGGGTAAATGGATGGATGGGTGGGTGAATGGACGATGGATGAATGGGTGGATGGGTGGGGGGATGGATGGATGGTGGATGAATGGATGGATGGATGGGTGGGTAGATGAATGGGTGGGTGGATGGGTGGGTGGATAGATGGATAGATGGATGGGTGAGTAGATGGGTGGGCAGATGGGTAAATGGATGGATGGGTGGGTGAATGGACGATGGATGAATGGGTGGATGGGTGGGGGGATGGATGGATGGATGGATGGATGGATGGATGGGTGGGTGGATGGATGGACAGACACATAGATGGATGGATACCATTAAGAATTTTTTTTACAAATGACAGAACCCCAACTCAAGTAACTTAAGCTAAGAAGGAAGGAAACAAAGGACTTGACTGGCTTATGTGCCTGAATAGTTAAGGGAAGGTCTTCAGGAACAGCTGGATCAAGGGACTCAAGTGATATCATCAGGACTAAGTCCCTCTTTTCCTCTCTCTGAGTACTGCTTTTCTTTGTGCTGAATTTGTTATCAGGAGGGCTCTCCCTTCGTGATGGCAAGATTCCCCCAGCAACTCAAGGTGAACATTCAGCATTACCAGCAAAAAAAAAAGAACTTCTTGTTCCCAGCCACTCTATCAGAAGTCCCCAGATTTAGTCCCATTAATACTAGTAGGTAACATTTACTGAGCACTTACTCTGTGCTGAGTCCTTTACAGGATTCCATCTGCACAACAGCACTGTGAAATGCATGCTATTATTACATCCCTTGTATAGATGAGGAAGCTAAGGCATGTAGAATTTAAATGTTGGCCAAAAGTCACACAGCCACCACGGGGAGGATCCAGGACCCCAACCCCAGCATCACCTCCAGAGCCTGTGTCCCTTCCTGAGTCAGACACAGAGGCCAGGAGGAGGGATCTTGATTGGAGACAGGTGGAGTTGGTCACCCACAAGGCTCACGGCCTGAGAGTGGGAGAGGGGTGTCCCTGTGGAAATGAAAAGTGGGGACAGATGCTGGGGGTGAACATGGCCACGTCCCTACAGAAGGGCTTCTGCTGTTCCCCAAGACAGCCCTGGGGAGGTTATTTTAGATTTCCCTGGGTGGAGAGGGGGCATTGGAGTGTTAGTCTCTCTCTCACCAGACCCCATGCCCTGCACCTCCCCTGCTCTCTGAGGTGTTGCCCTTAGGCAGGGCTGTCAGGAAGGCTCTCCCTGAGGGCCCAGCCCGGGGCAGACAGCCCATCAGGACGCAGGCTGAAGGGCAGGAATGGGCAGGCCCTCATCCAGGGTGGTAGCCAGGCTCAGAGCAAGCAGGCCCAGGCCTGGGAGAGGACTCAAGGCCAACACTGGAAACTGGGTCAACACAGCAGCAAACCCCAAAGGGCTGCCCTGCCGGGGGCTCAACCAGGCGCCAGGGCCTGCACAAAGGTGGCAAGTGAGCCAGAGGTGGAGCACGCGGGAATGGGCGTGGGAGTGGGAATGTGCATGAGTGTGCGTGTACACGTGGGGAGGCGTGAGGGCATTGGTACACACATATGCTCGTGACAACAGTCAGGACCAATGCAGACTTGGGTCTTCATGTGGGGGTTCTCAGAGGGCCCAACTCTGGACACTGAAGTGGGGTTGGGGAAGAGGAAGAGGGCCCACCCCATGCTGGGTCTGTGTGGAATGCAGGAGGAGGGGCTGGGGCTGGGGAGCGGGAGCATTTCACCCGGAAACCAGGTCAGAGCCCTGCGAGGGACAGGCAGGTCAGGATGACAGTTGACAGCTGCCCGCTGGCCTGGAGTGGCCTCAGTGCCTCTTGTTCTGCACCTGCATGACAGCCCACACCATGCAGTTCAGACTCAGGGCAGCAAATGGCGCAGCAGCCACGTGTCAGAGAGCACGGCCCTTTGACCTCCTGGGGGATGCAAGGCATTAGCTCCAAGACCCTATTTTGAAAAGACTCTGTCTGGGGCCTGGGCAGATCAAGGAGGAAATGTCTTCCCTGCAAGGGCTCAGGGCCCCTGCGCTGCGGCTGCAGGATAACAGAGGCAGCAGTAATGGCGGCCACTTTGGGGGTGGGAGGGTTCTATTTACTAAACCACAACATCTCATTTCCTCCTTTCAACAAGCCTCAGCAATAAGCAGTACCATTACCCCCTTTACAGACAAGAAAGCCAAGGCCCTCTGGGGACACACAGCCAGCAAGAGGCAGAGCTGGAATTAAATGCAGGGCTTAATGACCCAACATACCACTGCACAGCGCAGGGTGACAGCAGTGGGCATCTTGTGTGGAGGGGGGATGGGAGGGAAGCACAGGAGTGTGGCGGGGGAGGTGAAATGACAAGGGAGAGCCTTGCTGACCCCGGCAGTCATTCACCAAGCCCTCTTCCTCCTGCCTCCCACGTCGTGCTCCACTCGACCGTTTCTCTTGGCCTTGGCCACCACCTGAATCTGGGCCCCATCACGGGTGGGATTGGGCATGACAGAGCCTGGCAGCCTGAGTCTCCCATTTGTAAAGAGCCTCCAATTCAGACACGGGCATCTGTTCAAACACGGCTAATATCCAGTCAGTGTCTGTAACACAGGTTTGGCATCTTTCTACACTGCAACGTTCACCGTGTCGAGGGGGCTGGCTTCTCCCGGTCTCTGGGAGACACTGTTGGGACCGCCCTGGTGTCCATGGACCACTGCAGTGGTCCCCAGCCTGTCTCCTGGCCTCCTCTCCCCCTCCCTCTCCCCTCTCCACCCAGAGCCCAAGGGCTCTTTCCAAAACATGGATCAAGTCACATTGTTCTGCTTAAATCTTTCCAGCGACTGCCCAATCTATAGAATCAAATCCCAGAGCCAAACACAGAGTTCCTGCCTACGGGCATGACCCAGCCTCTATCCCAGCCCTTCTACCTCAGCCTGGACCATTCTGCCTCCCTGTCCTCCCCAACCCCCTTTTCCCTGGCTCAGTCCTCTTCATCCTCAGGAATCTACTCTGGAGCGTCACCCCAAGCTGAGGTTAGAGCCCCTGCACCAGTCTTGTGAGTGAAATGAAAAAAAAAAAACCAATATGTGACAATCTGATTCCTGTCCACCCCTCCCAAAGACCATGCAATGCCTGAAAGTAGGGCATGTCTGCAGGGGTCCTGCTAAATCCCAGAACCTGGCACCAAAAAGATGCTGGGCTTCACCCATCCTGATGCACATGTGGCCATAAAGGCCCAACATGGCTTGTGACTCACTCAAGGCCACATAGCAGTGCAGAGCAGAACGGGGCTTGGCCCCAGGCCCCTGCTGCCCCACCCCTGCCATAGTGCCATCCATAGGGACCTGCTAACTCAGTAAGGAATGCAGGCATGACAGGAAGTCCTCCCTGCCCAGCATACCCCTCTGTGGCCCGGTATCACTGGGCTCCAGTTCCTCAGTCTCCAGCCACCCACTGCCCTGACACCTGCCCCACCAGCCGCCTCCGGGTTTTCTCATCAGCTGAATGCAGCTCCTTCTCTTCATTGTCATGATCATAGGAGGCTTGCTGTTTATCTCTATGCCTTTTTGTCTTAGAGGCTGGGAGCAGGAAGGAGAAAGCTCAGGCTGGAGGAAGGGCCCCAAATCAATCTGTCTCTGAGTGGTTTTAATAAGAGCTGGGAGCAGCCCAGCTTCATCGAGTGATGAATGATCACTGGCTCCCTGGATGCGTTGATGTCCCAGAGCTAGAAGACAGGGGACTCAGCGGGGAAGGAAGAGCCAGGAGCATCAGAACAAAGACTCCACGGAGAGGAAGGATGGGTGGGAAAGTCAGGATTGAGCTGCCCTCTGCTCTTAACCTGACCCTGGATAATATGACTGTGCAGGGCTATAGCTCTGCGGCTGGACAGAGCTGGATGCCAAATCTGCATCTCCCTCCTTCTTGCTGGACACTTTGCATATACCATCTGCTATGGTCCGAAGGTTTGTGTCCCTCCAAAATCCACAGTCAAAACCCAACTCTCAAGGTGATGGTATTAGAAGGTGGGGCCTTTGGGAGGTGATGGGACATGGGAGAGAAGCCCTCATGGATGGGATGAATGCCCTCATACAAGAGCCCTAAGGGAGGTTCCTAGCCCTTTGCCCTTTCACCATGTGAGGCTATAGCAACAGGACACCATCTATGAAGCAGAGAGCCCTCACCAGACACCAAGTCTTCTAGCACCTTGATCTTGGACTTCCCAGCCTCCAGAACTGTGAGCAATGAATTTCTGTTGTTTTTAAATTACCCAGTCTAAGGTATTTTTTTACAGCAGTCCAAATGGACTAAGGCACCATGTCTTAATCCACACTGCAGCCATCCACGGAAGAGATGTCTCTCTATTTTATACAGGAAGGTTCAGAGAGGTTAGGCACCTTGCCCAAACCACACAGCCAATAAAAGTGAAAATTGCAAACATGTATTCACTGACTTGACAAATGATTTCTGAGTGCCTACTTGTGCCGGACACAGCTAACCACTTTAGAGGATGACTTCATCGAAGAAATCACTTCTCAAAGCATTCAGCCTCTTTCCCTCTTTGCTTTCCCATTAAAGATTCCCCGTCCCCAAGGCATCTGCGGCCACGCAGACGCATTAGTCTGGGAAGATTCAAATTGGGTGAATCTGATGTTGGTTTATTTAGACCCAGAAGACTGTTTACAAGAGGTGGTTCGGCAAATGGGACAGAGGCCTGGTGTTCCTGGCTCCCTTCTTATCTTCCTGCCTCAGTGCCGACAGAGGAGGAAGGCCTGGGCAGCCCGCCTGGACCCTGAACTGTGCCGCAAAAGGCCCCCCGTCAATTTCCACTCTCGGTTGCCCTACCCTCCTTCAGTTTCCCCTCTCTGTTCCCTCCTCAGGGAAGTCATTCGCAGGAATGTGTCCTCTCTGTGTCCTTTATTTGGGATCTTGTGAGGGTCAAATTTGGGGGCTTAGGACACGATCCTCTAGTTTGTCACTGGAGCCTGCAGGCTCCTCACAGCCCCTGTCATACAGATGAGGAAATGCAGCTTAAGTAGCTTTGCTGAGACTCCTGAATCCACTTGTTTGACCCCACTTTTTGCCTGATGGAGAACAGAGCCAGAATTTAAATTGCAAGGAGCCTGGAAGAGTCAGCTTCCCCTGCATCCTCCCGGGGGCCTGAGAGCACTGGGCCTTCTTATGGCTGCCATTCATTCATGAACACTTCATAGCTTTGTTCTTCCTCCCCCTTTCGCAGAGGGCCCCAAACTCCTTTACAGCCCACAAAACCTTTCATGTCTGATCCCTTCCAACTTCACCGTTTCCCCTTTCTCGCGACTCTCCTGCGTTCTCCTCTCTCACCTCCCACCTTAGCCCTGCAACCCCACATTCATTCCCTGCATTCTCTGCTTCAACTACATAAAATGTGCCATTCCTCAAAACTGCCATGTCCTCCCTCTCCTCTGGGCCCTCACATAAGCTATTCCTTCGGCCACATCACTGTTTCTCCTCTGCCTGGCTCATTGCTACACCAGCCTTAGGCTTCAGCTTCAGTGAGGCTCCTTCTGGGAAGCCTTGTTTATTCCCACCCAACATCCAAATGTAGTTGCTCATTTTTACTGACAACTCTTTATTGAGAACCTATTCAGTGCCAGGTGCAATGGGCTCCACCATACATCAGCCAGCTAAGCCTGCTCTCGGGAGCATCTGTGTTGAGGGACTCCTGCCCTGTGCTTCCAACTCCACTTCATACTCATTGCTTCTCTAAGCATCTGTCTTCTCAAAGGGACCGAAATAGTTGTGAATCCTACATCTGGTAAGGATTTAGTATCCTGAATATGTAAAGAACGCCTGCACCTCAACAACCAAAGACAAACAACCTGTGTTAGAGTCCTCCAGAGAAACAGAATAGGCTGTGTGTGTGTGTGTGTGTGTGCATTTGTGTGTGTGGGCGCACAGGTTGAGTATCCCTTATCCAAAATGCTTGGGAGCAGAAATATTTTGGATTGTGAAGTATTTGCGTTACACTTTCTGTCTGAGCACTCCAAATCCAAAAATTCAAAATTCAAACTGCTCCAAAGAGCACTTCCTTTGAGCATTACAATGACTCTCAAAAATTTTCAGATTTTGGAGCATTTTGGATTTCGGATTTTCAGATCTGAGATTTCTCAACTTGTATATGTACGTGTGTGTGTGTGTGTGTATACACATGTATATAGTGCATAAAAAGATTTGTGGCCAGGCGCAGTGGCTCACGCCTGTAATCCCAGCACTTTGGGAGGCTGAGGCGAGCGGATCACCTGAGGTCGGGAATTTGAGGCCAGCCTGACCAACATGGAGAAACCCTGTCTCTACTAAAAATACAAAATTAGCTGGGCATGGTGGCACATGCCTGTAATCCCAGCTACTTGGGAGGCTGAGGCAGGAGAATCACTTGAACCCAGGAGGCGGAGGTTGCAGTGAGCTGAGACCACACCATTGCATTCCAGCCTGGGCAACAAGAGCAAAATTCCATCTATTAAAAAAAAAAAAAAAAGATTTGTTGTAAGGAACTGGCTTACACAATTAGGGAGATGAACAAGCCCCAGCATCTGCAGGATGAATCGGCAAGCTGGAGGCCCAGGAGAGCTGATGGTATAGCTTCTGAGTCCAGAGGCAGGAAAAAAGCCAATGCCCCAGGCTGAAGGCAGTGAAAGAAATTTTCTTTTCCTTGGAGGAGGGTCAGCCTTTTTGTTCCATTCAGGCCTTGAACTAATTGGACGAGTCTCGCCCACATTAAGGAGGGCAATCACTTTATTCAGTTATTTTAAATATGAACTCATCCCCAAACACCCTCACAGAATCACCTGGGAGAATGTCTCATCAAACATCTGGGCACCCTGTGGCCCAGTCAAATTGACACATAAAACTAACCATCATGCAACCCAATTAAAAAGTGGGCAAAGGACTTGAAGAGACATTTCTCCAAAGATGATATACAAATGGCCACCAGGCATATGAGAAGATGCTCAGCACCATTTGTAATTAAGGAGATGCACAGCAAAATCACAATGAGGTGCCTGTACACCCTCCACGGTGGCTGTCATCCAAAAAAATGAAAATAAGAAGCATTGGCAAGGATGCTGAGAAATTGGTACCCGCATATATTGCTGGTGACAGCATAAAGTGGTGCAGTCACTGTGAAAAACAGTTTGGCCATTCCTTAAAAAGTTAAAAGGCTGGGTGCAGTGGCTCACGCCTGTAATCCCAGCACTTTGGGAGGCCAAGGCGGGCAGATCACGAGGTCAGGAGATCGAGACCATCCTGGCTAACACGGTGAAACTCCATCTCTACTAAAAATACAAAAAATTAGCGGGGCGTGGTGGCACACACCTCTAGTCCCAGCTACTCAGGAGACTGAAGCAGGAGAATCACTCGAACCCGGGAGGTGGAGGTTGCAATGAGCTGAGATCACGCCACTGCACTCCAGCCTGGGTGACAGAGCGAGACTGTGTCTCAAAAAAAAAAAAAAAAAATTTAGGACACAAGTTTATGGGACATGAGTTTCTATATGTTCCAGAAATTCCATTCCTAGGTGTATATCCAAGAGAAATGAAAACACATACACACAAAGACTTAGATACAAATATTTTTGGTTTGTTTTTGTCTTTTGAGACAGAGTCTTGCTCTGTCACCCATGCTGGAGTGCAGTGGTGCGATCTCAGCTCACTGCAACCTCTGCCTCCCGGGTTCAAGTGATTCTCCTGCCTCAGCCTCCCGAGCAGCTGGGTTTACAGGCGTGCACCACCACGCCCAGCTGATTTTTGTATTTTTAGTAGAGACGGGGTTTCATGATGTTAGCCAGGCTGGTCTCGAACTCCTGACTTCAGGTGATCCGCCAGCCTTGGCCTCCCAAATCGCTGGGATTACAGACATGAGCCACTGGGCCTGGGCTTGTACACAAATATTTATAGCAAGTATTATTCATAATAGCCAAAAGGTGAAAGCAACCCACACGTCCATCAATGGATGAATGGATAGTCAAAATGTGACATACCGTACAATGGAATATTTTTAACCATAAAAAAGAATAAAGCATTGATACGTGCTACAACTTAGGTAAACCTTGAAAACATTATGCTACCTGAAAGAAGCCAGTCACAAAAGATGACATATTAGATGATTCCTTTTATATGAAATACCCAGGGCCGGGCACGGTGGCTCACACCTGTAATCCCAGCACTTTGGGAGGCTGAGGCGGGCAGATCACTTGAGGCCAGGAGTTCGAGACCAGCCTGGCCAACATGATGAAACCCGTCTCTACTAAAAATACAAAAATTAGCTGGGCGTGGTGGCTCATGCCTGTAGTCCCAGCTACTAGGGAGGCTGAGGCAGGAGAATCACTTGAACCCGGGAGGTGGAGGTTGCAGTGAGCTGAGATTGTGCCATTGCACTCCAGCTGCTGACAGAGTGAGACTTTGTCTTCAAAAAAATAAAATAAAATAAGTAAATAAATACATATATGAAATATCCTGAATGGGTTAGTCCGTAGAGAGAGAAGACACATTAGTGGTTTCCAGGAGATGGGGAAGCAGAGAAAGGGGAGTGATTACTTAATAGGTACAAGGTATTCTGGGGTGGTGACAAGTTTTGAAGCCAGAGGTGGTGGTTACACATGACTGTGAACGTCACTGACTTGTACACTTTAAAATGGTTGGTTGCTTGCCATGTGAATTTCACTGCAATTATCGTTGTCCTCACCCACCTTCCCTGTTTCGTTCTTAGGTTTCCTACGTGCTGGAATCCTTCACCGTTGTAACCCCAGCACTTCATACGCTCCCTGGCACAAAGGGGATGCTTAATACATCTTCGTTGAGTAAATAAACACAGAAAGCAAAAAGGAAAGCAAAGCACCTACAAATGGAGAAAATTAAGCCTTTCTATAATTAGGGGCAGGGAGTGGAGTCTGAAGGGAAACTGGGTTTATTTTGTGTGATTCTGTGGGCACAAAATCAGGAACAACTAGTGGGATTGAGAAGGCAACAGCTCTTGACTAAACCTAAGGAAGCCCTGTCTACCCTTGGAGCCGTAGAGCAGTAAGACCGGCCATTCTGCAAGGCAGTGAGCATCCCGTCATGAGAGGCATGCAAATGGAAATGAGGGAACTTGTTGAAAGAACTCATGCATCAGCAGGAGAGTTCCCCTAGACAACATGTTCCTCCCAACTTGGAGACGCTGTGATCTGAGATGACTTACAGTCATTAAAAACTCATTTAGCCTCCTGCTGGCTCCTTGTTACCTTGTTGAATCAATCATTCACCAGATTATCTACTGAGCACAGGTGTCAACGGATGGATCCAAAGAAAGTGCCACTTCCTAAAGAGGCAGAGAAGTTTCCATGCCGTTGTTCTTATTTTCTGCTTCCTGACCTGACCCAGAGTTCAGAACGCCAGCAGGGTTAAGGCTCTGATGTGCTGATGTCACTGGGTTCAGAGATGAGTTGGCAGTTCACGTCCCTCCTGTGGGCTGCTCTGCCTGAGTGGCTGTCCCTGCAGTGTGCCTGCCACCTCCTGGCTCTGATGCTGTCTCATAGTGGTGGCATCACCACCATCTCCTGCTTCTGATGCTGCTCTGGGCATACCTTAGTGCCCACACCTGGCCCCAGCCTCCCTCAGGGCCAGGCGGCGGCGTGCAGACAGGCGGTGGCGTGCAGACAGGCAGCTGCGGCAATGCAGAAAGGGCAGAGCTTGAGAAACATGATGGGCATCCACAAACATACTATCACGTGTCCTTTAAAATACTGAGGCTCTTCTGTAGTGACCTGGGGACATGCTTATGCTGTGGAGTTTAATTTTTTATAGGTGACATTACATATTATTACCCACTGATCATCACTGTTGCCTACTCACCACTAATTCTCACCTCTTTCTTTCCATCAGAAACCCATTTAGGGGCAGGGCAGCAATGTGCCCTGTGGAAAATACTCCCCTGACCAGGGGACACGGTTTTGGTCTATGGATGTCCACAGGCAGCCCTGGGTGGGGTTTGCACGGAAGCCTCTGGCTTTGGTCTTCCTCCTTTGCCATGTCTAGGATGCAGACTTGGTGCCCAGAGACGGAGCTGTCTTCCTATAACCACAGAAACTAAAGACGTAGCTGAGGACAGCGGCATTAGAAATCCAGGAGAAGCCTGGGTCCCTGATGGCTCTTTAAAGCCCTCCCACTGGCCTGCAAGCTGCCAGCCTAAGGGTGGCTCGTGCCCATAATCCCAGCACTTTGGGAGGCCGAGGTGGGAAGATCACTTGAGCCCAGGAGTTCGAGACCAGCCTGGCCAACATGGTGAAACCCCACCTCTACTAAAAATACAAAAATTAGCCAGGTGTGATGGTGCACACCAGTAATCCCAGCTACTCAGGAGGCTGAGGCAGGAGAATCACTTGAACCCAGGAGGCGGAGGCTGCAGTGAGCCGAGATCATGCCACTGCACCCCAGCCTGGGCGACAGAGCAAGACTCCATTTCAAAAAACAAACAAAAACAACAACAACAAAAAAGAGTGCCTGTGACAGGAGGAAAACAGGCCCCTGTTTGGTTAAGTTGCTGCAGTCTGTACCTGAAACAGACGTAATTCTAACTAATGCTGTAGAAATCAAAGAAAATTTACAACACGTAGTGTAGTGGGTTGAATAGCACTCCCCACAAGCTAGGTCCTCCAGAGCCTCGGATTGTGCCCTTATTCAGAATAAGGGTCTTTGAAGATGTAATTAAGGTAAGGATCACGAGATGAGATCCTCCTTGATAAGGGTGGGCCATAAATCCAATGACAGGTGTCCTTAAAAGAGACAGAAAAGGAGAAGACGGGCAGAGGCCCAGGGAAGAAAGCCCAGTGAAGGCAGAGGTGAAGACGGAGGCTGGGGTGATGCTGCCACAGCCAGGGACCAGCAGCCGGAAGAGGCAAGGAGAGAGTGTTCCCAGAGTCTTCACAGGGGGACTGCTGACACCTGGATCTCAGACTGCTGGCCTCCAGAAACATGGAAGAATAAATCTCTGTCCTTTTAAGTCACCTAGTTTATAGTCACTTGTTACAACAGCCCTGAGGAACCAATACAGGCAGAAAAAGGTGCCATACAGGGTGCGTTGGCGTCCACCTGTAGTCTCAGCTCCTCCAGAGGCAGAGGTGGGAGGATTGCATGAGCCCAGGAGTTTGAGTCCAGCCTGGGCAACGTTGAGAGATCCCGTGTCTCTAAAAAAATAAAACATTAAAAGGTACCATAGAAGATGTGGCATCTAAGTTGGGCATTTGAAAGACAGACCGTTCTCACGTTAAGAAAGAAAAGGGCCAGCTGGGCGCAGTGACTCACACCTGTAATCCCAGCACTTTGGGAGGCTGAGGCAGGCAGATCACCTGAGGTCGGAAGTTCGAGACCAGCCTGGCCAACATGGTGAAACCCTGTCTCTACTAAAAATACAAAAATTAGCCGGGCATGGTGGCATGCACCTGTAATCCCAGCTACTCGGGAGGCTGAGACAGGAGAATCACTTGAACCTGGGAGGCGGAGGTTGTGGTAAGCCGAGATCACACCATTGCACTCCAGCCTGGGCAACAAGAGCAAAACTCCATCTCAAAAAAAAAAAAAAAGAAACAAACAAAGAAAGAAAACAAAGAAAGAGAAAGAAAAAGAAAGAGAAAGAAAAAAAGAAAGAAAGAAAGAAAGAAAGAAAGAAAGAAAGAAAGAAAGAAAGAAAGAAAGAAAGAAAGAAAGAAAAAAGGAAGGAAGCAAGGAAGGAAGGGCCCTTCCAGACACATGAGTAGCAAACTGTAATAGTAATCGCCTCCTGCCTTGAGCACTTCCTCCGTTGAGTATACTTTCCATCCAAGCCTGGGTGATGGATCTCATATCCCAGATACCGGGGGGCCTGCACCCCCATCCCCCTTGCCCTGAAGACCTAAGCCTCTTGTCCAAGGGCTGTGGGAGCCCACTCAGCCCCTGCACAGGCCGAGGCAGAAGCGCCCGAGAGCAGTGCCCTGTGCAGCCCTCAACCAACACAGAACAGTGAGCTGGATCAGAACACACCAGCTTCCTCCCCTCTGCCAGGATGATCTGAGGTCAGCTCCAGGCAGTCTCCCAGAGCCCGGCAGGCCTGAGCCTCTGTAGACCACAGGTGGTGGTGGTGGGCTCATTAGTTCCCCCTTCTGCCTTCCTCCTTCTCCCTCTCTCACTTGTCCACTCCCCTGGAGGTGCTTTGGGAATCACTTTACAATAAACCACTTGTACTCTAGTCCTTGCTGTGGATTGGCTCCTGGGGAAGCCCCACCAAGCCAGTGTTGGAGTTGGGGATTGTATGTGGTTTATCTAATCCTGGAGCCCGAGCTAAACTGGTCTATCCTGTGGGGTTATTTGCACCACAGTCCCGATGCGTGTCCAGTATTCAGGAACACAAACTAGAAAGCAGCCAGCTCTCCACAGCCCAGAGCAAATGTGGCAGGGAAGCAGTCGCTGCAGGACCAGTCCCTTGAACATCGTGCTGTGGAAACAGAGTGTGCTCTGATGCTCTCTGTATTCACCAGAGAGCCTGCGGGGCCGCCTGGGATGCACTCCAGCAAGAAGCCTGCGCCCTGCTCTTACCACCCCAGCTTCTCCAGGTCTTGGGCCACTTGTCACCCTCTCCTGTAGCGCTCACATCTGTTAACTCTCGAGGGGCGAAGAGAGGGCAATGGGCAGAGTGTTTCAGAGACAATTCTGGGATGCCTGCAAAGCTCACTGGGTGAGCCAGCGCCAGATGAGAAATTGCTATGCTCCGGCAGTTTTGCAAAATTCAAAGCTTTTTGCTGGAGCAGAGGGTCAGTTCTTGGAAGGTTTCTTGCATAATCATCCAAAACGTCACCTTGTCAGCATCACCAGAGAGACCATGTCGGATGATCTGGGGCCAGCCCTTTCTCTGCATTTGGAAAGATCTTCAAGAATGTGAATCACAGAGGAAGCGAGGCCCAACTTTATTGCCATCAAAAGGAAATTGCCTACACTTCATGGGCTTCTTGCAAAGAAAGCTTCCAGTCCCTGGTAGAGAAAAGAGTGCATTTATTTATTCATCCACTCCTCTATTTATTTAACAACTGTGTGCCCTAAAGTAGTAATAACCGGGGGCATTCACCCAGTGTTTACTCTTCGGCTGGGCCAAGTGGTTTCCATGTAAGAATCCCATGTAACCCTCACAGCTCTCAGAGGTAGGTCTCATCATCAGCCCCACTTTACAGATAAGGAAACAGAGGCTCAGAGAAGTTCACGAGCTCTCCCAAGATCACCCAGCCAGTAAGCCAGGGGGTTCAGGTTTGGAGAGAGAAGATTTCAATTCTCGTCTCAGTCCTTCTTCTTATTAGCTATTTCGTGTCCACGTGTCATTTGATGCATTTAGCTGAGCCTCAGTTTCCTCCTCTGGAAAATGGACGGAGCCCAGGTAAGAGTTACCAGACCAGGTGAAGTCCAGCAGTCGGGGAGTATATTACACAATTCAGAGCCCACTCTCCAGCTCGGCATATCCCAAAACTGTGTTTTCCCAACAAAGATTAAGTCGGTAGGATGTTCAAAATCTTTCCCAGCAAGCCAGATGGGGATACTGAGAGTAGGCCACAGACATGTTTTTTGCTCAGACTTTAAACTCAGATCTGTTGGCTTAAATGTCTGCCCTCCTGTCCCTCTACCGGGTGCTCGCATCACTGGGCACACCACCCTCGGGTGGGAGAAGTTGAAAGGGTCTGGGTTGCTTTGCATCTCATCAGCTTCCTCTTTGACAGTGGGATGCCTCCTGCCAAAACAATCACGCCTGTTTACAGCTCTAAGAGGCTCGGGAGGCAGCCTGGAGTCCTGCCCCACTGGCCCAGTCGGATAATGCTCTTCTCTCAGCCAGCCTGCGTTTCCCCTGCAGTTCCATTGGAGAAAGGCCCCCCAGCTTTATAGCCTGAACATCTAACGGATATTTTCACAACCCGTTAGGCGGCTTCTGAATTTCAGCTCCCAGATGCCGCATATGGGTGCTGACGACTTGTGCCAAAAATATTTGGAGGAGAGGATGAGGGAACCAACCTCTGAACGGAGCTGATCATGGTAACAGTGACAGCCGTTACCTTTGTCCAGCATTTCACAGTTTGCAAAGCACGCTTAGGCACTACGTGGTGTCAGTTTTGACCCTCGTGGTAACTCTTTAAAGAAGAGGGAGGTTACAGGTATTATTGTCCCAAGCCCAGCCATATCAAGTGGACTGCTGTCTGTCAAGTGACAGAGAAAGTGCTCACCAGGAAGCCCCTGGAGGGAAGGAAGGGTCAGGATGAGCCCTAGGGGAGTCACTTCAGGAGCAGGGAGCAGAGAAGGCTCCAAGGTATGGGAGAAAGCCCAGTGGAGGGGGAAGCTGCAGGAAGAGAAGCAGGAGAAGAGGGGTCTCCAAGCAAGGCAGAGGAATGCCGGGAGGAAGGAGAGGCAGTGCCACCTCTGCAGAGATGCTCCATTGGAGATAGTGTGGCCAGTGGCTAAGAAGGTGGGTTCATGGCTAGTATATTGCTAAACGTCCCTGTGCTTCAGTTTCCTCATCTGTAGAATGGGCATAATGATAGTCCCCAATTCATGCAGTTACTATGAGGCTTAAGTGCTTATTCCAGGCCTAGCACATAGTAAGCGCAAAGTGTCCCCTATCCTAAACCCTGGCATTGGACTTGACCACCCAGCCATGAGTGATTTTCCTTTTTTTTTTTTGAGACAGAGTCTCACCGTCACCCAGGCAGGAGTGCAGTGGCGCAATCTCAGCTCACTGCAACCTCCACCTCCTGGGGTCAAGCGATTCTCCTGCCTCAGCCTCCCGAGTAGCTGGGATTACAGGCATGCACCACCATGCCCGGTTGATTTTTGTATTTTTAGTGGAGATAGGGTTTCACCATGTTGCCCAAGGCTGGTCTCGAACTCCTGACCTCAAGTGATCTGCCTATCTCGGCCTCCCAAAGTGCTGGGATTACAGGCGTGAGCCACCGCGCCTGGCCATGAGTAACCTTTGACACAGGTTTGGGGTAAGATGGTTTGTGGCATATCATGGAATAAGTGGAGGTGAGGGAATGAAAGAGGGCCTGGAAAGTCCTTGGAGGAGCCATACTTTCAAGGATGAAATGCAGGAATAAGGGATGGTCTCCCTTGGAGATGTGGGAAAGGCTCGAGCTTGTGTGGGCAGCAGGGGTGGCAGAGGGCAGCAGACGCAGAAGGCTCAGAGGGGATAACAGTCAGGGCACTGGCTGGAGAGGATATCAGGGGCTGCAAATCCTTAATTAGATGGATTGGTTTGGGTAGAACAGCCACCTCTCCTCTCTGAGAGTCCAGGTGTAAATCAGGACATGGGATGCAGGGTTGGAGGTAGGAGGAAGGAGGGGCATTTGAGCTGGGTCTGGACACCTGCCCAGAATAGAATTAGGCAGAGCCCCTTCCCCTAGTCACAGAGATAAGCATCTTTGGGTTAAGACAATGTTTATCAAATGTTTATTGTTTCCTAGAAGGCTTCCTGAATTTGACTCCTAGCTCAGCTACTGTGTGACCTCTGACAAGCTACTTAATCTCTTTGTACCTCAGTTTCCTCACTTGTAAAATAGGGATCTTGAGATCATGATGCTACCTGCCTGTCCAGATGGTTGTGAGAGTGAGATGACACAATCTAAGGAGAGAGCCTGGCCTGGGTCAGTGACGGCAGGCTGTTAATTTTTTTTCTTTTTTCTTTTCTTTTCTCTTCTTTTCCTTTCTGTTCTTTTTTTCTTGAGATGAAGTCTCGTTCTGTTGCCCAGGCTGGAGTGCAGTGGCGTGATCTCGGCTCACTGCTACCTCCACCTCCCGGGTTCAAGCAGTTCTCCTGTCTCAGCCTCCTGAGTAGCTGGGACTACAGGTGTGAGCCACCACACCTGGCAAATTTTTGTACTTTTAGTAGAGATGGGGTTTCACCATGTTGGTCAGGCTGGTCTCGAACTCCTGACCTCAGGTGATCCACCTTCCTCGGCCTCCCAAAGTGCTGGGATTACAGGCGTGAGCCACCACACCCAGCCTGGCTGTTATTATCATGTTATTAACTAGTATCATGAGCGGCTCAGTTTGAGAACCAGTGGGTTAAGACGATGATTCCTACAGAGACCCATACTAAAGTGCAGTCATTTTGACTCATATTTATAGAACTCCTACTATCAACCAGGCACCAGGATATGATGGCTGCCAAGGAGACGTGGTCCTCCCTCAAAGATTTGCACCAGCAGGTAGTAGAGGCTTGCTCTGGCCAGTCATTTAATCCCCACTACAAAACCCCAGGACCAGGGATCTATTCATGCTCCCATTCCACATGGGAGGAAACAGGGACAGAGAGGTGTAGTCAGCTGCCCAAGGTCACACAGCAAGGAAGTGGTGGAGCTGGGATTTGAACCCCAGGGGTCTGTCTGGCTCTAGAGCCTGCAGTGGTGTGCCCCGACAGTAACTACAAGTGGTGGTGACTGCCACTGGTGTCCAGAGTGTGCAGGACATGGAGGGCAAATGATGTTTGAGCTGAGAAAGGCATACAGGAGTTAACTAGATGAGTGAGGGCAGCAGGGCTAAGGCCCTGAGGCAGAACGGGCAAGTCGAATGTGAGGATGCAGAGAGCCAGCTGCTGGGCAGATGAAAACTGCCAGGGAGGAGGCACTGCCCACTCACCAGTCCTGACAGCTCCGTGGGAAAGGTGGACTTTCCCCCAAGCACAGTGGGAAGCCTTTGGGGGACTTTCAGTGGAAATGCGGTGATATTTAGAAGTATCACTTTTTACAGCTGAACGGGACTCAGCCACACAAAAGACCGAGCGCACTTTGAGTACAGACATGGGGCCACTCCAAAGTACATTAGATGGAAGAGCGGGTGCTGGCTTCTATTTGCAGAGGGAAGAAGGAGAGAAAGAATGAGAATGTGTATGTGGCCAGGCACGGTGGCTCACGCCTGTAATCCCACCACTTTGGGAGGCCGAGGCTGGCGGATCACCTGAAGTCAGGAGATCGAGACCATTCTGGCTAACACGGTGAAACCCCGTTTCTACTAAAAATACAAAAGATTAGCCACGCGTGGTGACGGGCGCCTGTAGTCCCAGCTACTCGGCAGGCTGAGGCAGGGGAATGGCTTGAACCCTGGAGACGGAGATTGCAGCAAGCCGAAATTGCGCCATTGCACTCCAGCCTGGGAAACAGCAAGACTCTGTCCCAAGGAAAAAAAAAAAAAAGAATGTGTATGTGCTTTTGTGCTGGGATATATGTAAAATCTCTCCGAAAGGGTACATAAGCAACTGTCAGGGGCGGGACGGAGGGGACGTTCTCTGTAGATTTTCTCTTTTAAATGTTGAATCTTGGGGTGAGATTACCTATCCGAAATTAAGATTTGTAAAGGACGATGCTGGCCGCTGGGTGGAAAATGGAACCCAGGATGTCTACGGCGTATTCCAAGGTATGATGCGAGAATGAAACTGGGCTATTAAGTTTCCAAGTGCATGAGGTGAGGAATCAACTAAGATGGGCCCTGAGTGTGGTGGGTGCAGCTGCCGGGGGAGGGCTGTTCTGGGAAGGGCACTGTGTCGCGCAGCTGCAGGGTGTTATATGGAGTGGGGGCCGGGGAAGGGAAAAAAGGGTAGAGTGTCAGGGACCCACTCAACTTTGCCTCTAGCAGAATTTGACATAGCTTCAGCCTGGGGCACCCAGAATTCCTTGGCCCTCCTTGAACACAACCACCCAGGCTTTATGCGTGGAGTGTGGAAAGGGGGCAGTGAGGGAAGGCGGCAGGTGCGAGAAGAACTCTCCAGCAGGACTCAGGAGCCCTTGGCTCTGGGATGTAAATCAAAGCACCGCGCCTCAAAGAGAGGCGCCCAGGTGATGTCTCAGCCTCTCATTCTCAGTTGGCGAGCAAACGGACAGAGATGCACTAATGTGGAACGTTCTGGAAAAGCGGCTCTTGGCTTCTGCAGATGGAGTATCTCGGGCTGTTAAAGGGGGCCTCCGGGTGGCTCTGGAGGGATGATTTGCTCAACTTTAAATAAAGGCGGCAGCAAATAAGTCAAAAGGCGGCAGCCCTTCTGCCCTCCTGCAGCAGACAATTTCCCGGCTGCTGCTGCCCCCTGCTGACAGAATCAGGACATCGCGGCCTCCGTGCCCCGCCGAGGCCACAGCTCAGGCCTCCACTTTGCATTCCGGGCGCACAGAAGGTGAGTCAGTTCCATTTCCTCTGCCCTTTATTGAGATGGCCACCGCCAAGTACTGCATCAGCGGAGACATAAACAACCGGGCCCACGTGAACAGTGGAAAAAAGAACAGCAAAGGTCATTACCGAGAGAAGGCAGTGCACCAGATGTGACAGTGCGTTATAGGAAATTGTAAAACAGAACTGTACCACCGCATTATAAATCCTCCTCCAGGGACTCATGGCCACCCCAGTGGCTGTTCATCAGAACTGGTGCTCACTGAGTCTTACCACGTGTCAGGCGTGCTGGGGACCCCTTGCATGTGGCCACTCTTCTGAGCCTCAAAGCGCCTACTGGAGCAGGTGGGAGGAGACTGAGACACAGAGGAGAGGTGGCAAGACAAAGATTCAAGCCCAGGAAGCCCGAGGCCCAAGGCCTTGTAGATTGCAAGTGCAAAATCAATATCCTTTATTCAGTGGGTTCATACATCTAAATCAGTGCTTCTCATCCGTGGAAGATTTTGCCCCCCAGGGGACATTTGGCAATGTCCAGGGACATTTTTGGTGGTCTCAGCAAGGGAGCTTGCTCTGGCATCTAGTGGGCAGAGGACAGAGATGCTGTCTATATTGCTCAGGACAGCCCCCATAACTAAGAACCCTTCACCCCCAAATGTCAATAGTGCCGAGGTAGGGAAACCCTGATCTAAATACATAAAATTTCTACAAATCTATTAGCACTCTCTTTTTGGCATTGCCTCTGACATGAGGGCATTTGAGCAAATCTGCTTTAATGTATGAAAGATATTCTTCTTGAGAATTCATGCAGAATCACTCTCAATTATTTAATTTCCCCTAAAATCTCCTATTTACCCAATTGTTGGATTCCATCCAACAATTCTGCTACTACACCCTATAAGTGAAGGGGCTGTGATGGGGCCCAGGCAGAAGGAGAACCCCCTGGCTGTCAAGACACAGTGGCAAAGGGGCTTGGGCCCTGCATTGGGGATGATCAGCCCTGGCGCTGTGCGTGGAATGTTGCTGCTGTCCCTGGCAGGGAGCCGTGGCTCATCCGCATGCTGCTCTTCAGGGATGTCGGGACGTGTTCAACCCCAGGATGATTGAACAATTTCTGGGAACAACTTGTCAGCAGCTGCCCCTCCACTCCCCTCTTATCCAAAGCCCCAGTAATCAGCCCCAACAGTCTAGTCCCTGGCTTTGGGAAGCAGCACTGTTAATACTTCCTCTTCCACAGAGCATATGGGTGTAGCTAGGGGTGCAGGCTAGGGGTGGGAGAGGACCCAGGATGAGGTTACCCCATCTGAATGGTCATTGCACATCTCTCAGTAGTAAGCCCATTGCTTGCCCAAAAACTGATATTCAAGAGTTGGTGCTTGTTGAATGAATGAATACACAACCGGAAGGGTAAACCCTATGAGAGTCATTCATTCATTCAGAAGTATTTACGGGGTGCCTCACCATGCAGGGGACTGTCCTAGATACTGGGTGAACAAAAGAGACCAAGTGTCAGTTCTCATGAAGCTTACCTTCTAGTGGAGGGCGACAGATACCATATAAATAAACTAATAAATATGGAATATAGGTGGCCCTCTGCATCCACGGGTTCCACATCTCTGGATTCAACTAACTGCACATTGCAAAAATAAAAAAATAACAATACAACAATAAAAATAATACAGATAAAATACAGTATACCAATATTTCTATAGCATTTCCATTGTATTAGTTATTGAAAGTAATCTAGAGGTGACTTAAAGTATACAGGAGGACGTGTGTAGGTTTTGTGCAAATATTACAACATTTTATATAGGGGACTTGAGTAGCCCTGGATTTTGATATCCATGGTTACCAATCCCCCACGGATACAGAGGGACAGACTGTGTAATCTCTGGTAGTAGTGAACGCTATGAAGAAAGTAAAGTAAGTCAAGGATATTGAGACTGACAGATTGGGGGCGATGCTTAAATTGTGTGTTTGGGAGGGCTCCCCGAAGGCATGACGTTTGAGCTGAGATCTGAAGATCATGAAGGAGAGTCATACAGCCTCATTGGGAACAGTGCGTACAAAGGCCCTGCGGTGGGAACGTTCCCGAGGAGCTTGAAAAACAGTAAAATGACCCAATAGAGTAGATAAAGGTGGGTCCTGGCATTAGCTAAGAAAAGCAGTTCTCAACATGAGCTTGTGTCGGAGTCACCAGGAGGCCTTATGGAAGCAGATTGTGGGCTCCACCTCCAGTGTTCAGCTGGTCAGGGGTGGGGCCTGGGAAAATGCATTTCTTACTAATCCCCAGGTGATGCTGGTGTGCCAGTCCAGGGATCAGAGCATAGGGTATTTGTTCTTTCTGCACCACATCCTCCCCTATTCAACATTGACTACATGCAATCATAGATCATTACTGCTTGATCATCTGCCGCTCCACTGGGCTAGATGGTTCTGTCCACCTCTACGTCCTAGTGCTTAGCAAGCACTCAACAGAATATTTGTTGAATTAATTCCTCAAACAAGGGTTCTACTCTGGGTCTTGCCATTCCACCGTGTGTTCCATCTGCTGCCCTCCCAGAGCTCTGAGCCTTTGCATGTGCTGACCCATCCACCCAGCATTTGCCTTCCCCTGTGTCCACCTCGCAAATTCCTACAAGGCTCTCCTTTCAGAATATCCTTCCCGACTCCCTCTCCATCCACCCAGGGTTAGGAATGCTCCTCGAGGTGTACATAGGGAGTCCCATATCCACCTGTGGCACAGTGACTTGTCCACATGTTGGTCTTCCTTTCTTTACCAAAGATCGTAGATGAGCAGCCCCCAGGTTGAACCGGTCAACAGAGGTTTCTACTGCAGCTACAGTGTTTTAAATTTAAGTTCATTGCCAACACTAACAGGTCAGGGGATTTCACACAAAAATCCAGATTCCTGGCT
>NT_187626.1:0-82692 GCF_000001405.40 Homo sapiens | reverse complement strand
CTGAATTGGCAAAAACTTAAACGAACCGTGTTAATATGTCCACCTTCTGGGGGCAGCCTGGCTGCAGGCAAGAGCAGCCCTGGAGCTTGCACCTTCCAAGCTGATCGTCTACCTCTCCAAGCCCGGGGCTGTCCACCTCTCCAAGCCCGGGGCTGTCCACCTCTCCAAGCCCGGGGCTGTCCACCTCTCCAAGCCCCGGGCTGTCCACCTCTCCAAGCCCCGGGTTGTCTTACCTCTCCAAGCCCCAACTGTCTACTTCTCCAAGCCCTGGTCTGGCTACCTCTCCAAGCCCTGGCTGTCCACCTATCCAAGCCCCGGCCTGGCTACCTCTCCAAGCCCCAGGCTGTCCACCTCTCCAAGCCCCAACTGTCTACCTCTCCAAGCCCTGGCCTGGCTACCTCCCCAAGCCCTGGGCTGTCCACCTCTCCAAGCGCCAACTATCTTTCTCTCCAAGCCCTGGCCTGGCTACCTCTCCAAGCCCCAGGCTGTCCACCTCTCCAAGCCCCAACTGTCTACCTCTCCAAGCCCCGGCCTGGCTACCTCTCCAAGCCCCTGGCTACCTCTCCATGCCCGGCCTGGCTACCTCTCCTCTTGCCTATAGGCCCTGAGGGGCAATTCCAGCCCAAGGGAATCCATGGCTCCTGCTGCTCCAAGAAAACCTAGTTTATGTTGTGGCTCTGCAGAGCCTGGCCTGGTCTTGTCCTCTGTGTTTCACAGACCTTCCGTAGCCAGTCCCACCTGCCCTGCTCTCTGCTGCATGCGCAGGGGCCTCCTGTCAGCTCCTCAGAGACCCTTATTATCCCAGGGCTCGCCATGCACTGCCTCCTTCGCCTGGAGCCTCTTACCTTCCACTCCTGCCCCGCTGGCTCACACTTTACGTGTTCCTTCTTTGAGGACCTCTTCCTGACCTACCGTGCCAGGTGGAGTGTCCTGTTACGCATTCTCATGAGATCCTGCCTTCTTTCTTGGTGAGCTTGTCACTATTGTCCTCAGTTCACTGTCAGCCTTTGGTGTCGTTGATGCTGCGTCCCCAAGGCTGCTGTCCGGTTCCCACCACACTCCTGGCGCCTGCCTGGTGAAGGAACGTGTTTAGGCTGCACTTTGCCTAGTAGCTTTGTGGGTCTTTATTGACTTTTGCATACCTTTTGGGGTTTGGAGCAGGGACTCCTCAGAAGCATGTTTAGATGGTGTGGCTGTGCCAGGACTGCTGCTGCTGAAGTGGCTCTGGCATGGGGCCAGCGTGCCGGAGCTACTCTGGAGTCTAGGGTCGTCTTTGTTCCCATACAGGACCAGTCTGCCAAGTGGAGATGACACAGACTGGGGCAGCTCAGGCTTGGCTCAGAGGGCGAGGCTGAGTGTGCGCTGTCACTTCCCCACCTTGCCTTCTCCAGGCGCATGTGCACCTGGGCCCCTCGCTCACCTGAGCACTGAGGTGTCCCTGGACCTTCCCAGGTAGCTGTCTTCATGTGCTCCTTCCTGGGGCCAGGGGTTGCAAACACCTCTCCTGGGGCTGGACACACACACTCCCAGGAAAGCCACTGGTTCCACCTAGGGGGCCGTGTATCCAGGCAAGTTCTCAGCACTCTGGAACCTGCTTCGCACATGGGGGTCGCAAGATCCACATGAGGCTGCCCTTGCCTCATGGAGAGGGGCACACGTGACTCCCAGAGGGTGAAGCTTCCCAGCTAGAGGCAGTGCAGACTTTGCTGACAGGAAGCAGATGACGTGGGCCTATTCTCTCCCCGCTCAGGTGGTGCTGTGGCCATCCCCTCCTGGGGGAAGTTCTGGCTGGCTGTCCTGAATGTTTACAGCTGGGAAGGCCTCAATACCCTGTTCCCAGAGATGTGGTATGTCTGCTGTTGATTGGGTTGTTGGGTCGCTGCTGCTGTCCCGGGGAGTAGAGTGACAGGGACCGTGGGTCAGGTGCAGGCTGTGACAGCAGAGAGGGGTGGGCATTCTGTGGGTGGGTGGAGTTAGGCTCCTGGCAGAGGCCCTGATCAAGCTTGAGTCCTGTAGGGGTACAGAAAGGGGGAGGTTCCCAATTGAGCAGGAAGAAGGCTGTGCCATGGATGGAGGTACCCCGAGTCAGGCTGCAGGCAGGGCTGGGTGGCTTCCCTCTTGCTGTGGAAGACTCAGCATCTGTAGAAGTGGGGGGGTGCCCCTCCCCCAGCCTGCACAGGGGCGTCCTGTGTTGCTGCTGCTGCGTTTGTCTCCTTTGCTGGTGAATGTGAAGTGTGTCCCGACGTGACACCTCACCTGTGGACTCAGCGTGTGTGCCTTTAAAAGATCAGTGTCTGTGGCCAGGTGGGGTGGCTCATGCCTGTAATCCCAGCACTTCGGGAGGCCGAGGCGGGCAGATCACGAGGTCAAGGGATCGAGACCATCCTGGCCAACATAGTGAAATCCCGTCTCTACTAAAAATACAAAAATTAGCTGGGCGTGGCGGCGCGTGCCTCTAGTTTCCAGCTACTCGGGAGGCTGAGGCAGGAGAATCACTTGACCCTGGGAGGCAGAGGTTACCGTGAGCCGAGATCGTGCCACCATATTCCAGCCTGGCGACGGAGTGAGACTCTGTCTCAAAAAAAAAAAAAAAAAGATCAGTGTTTGTTTTTTTAAACAGAACCACATACTGTTTAAATACCCAGCAAAATCAACATTAATTTCTTATTATCTGGTGTGTGTTTTTTTTGTTTTGTTTTGAGACGGAGTCTAGCTTTGTCACTCAGGCTGGAGTGCAGTGGCGTGATTTGGGGTCACTGCAACCTCCGCCTCCTGGATTCAAGCAATTCTCCTGCCTCTGCCTCCCGAGTAGCTGGGATTACAGTCTCAGGCCATCACGCCCAGCTAATTGTTGTATTTTTAGTAGAGACAGGGTTTCACTATGTTGGCCAGGATGGTCTCAAACTCCTGACCTCAGGTGATCCGCCTGCCTTGGCCTCCCAAAGTGCTGGGAGCCATGAGCCACTGCTCCCGGCCTTATGTGGTGTCTTGTAACATTTTATGGCTATCTATTGAAAGCAGTGGACATCTCCCCAGAAAACACTCGTGCATATGAGTTTACCCCGTTATGCATTTTGGGAAGTGAGACCCTGGAACCACACAGAGCCCCTGCTGGCTTCCTTGAGTGTTGTGGGAACCCTGGTGGGGGTGTCCCCTAGAGAGCTATCAGCAGGGCTGGGGGGGTCCCTTGTGTTAGATGACTTTGGTGCGGGGGTGGGGGGTGGGGGGTCAAGTTAGGGGAGGCAGGAAGTGAAGGGGCCGCTCAAGAAAGGACAGCAGCAGTGTCCTGATGCAAAGGCCGGGGGCTTAACCCCGGAAGCCAGTTTGGGTGGTGACGGGGAGGCACAGGGATGGTGAGATCACCCCGGGAGGGTAGACAGAGATACCAGAGTAGGGGGCAGGGTTAGGGTGCCGCTACCTGAGGCGGGCCGTAGAGCACATAGGTTGGGAGGTGTCCTGGGGCCATTCAAATGCCCGCTGGACTCTGCGCCTCGCCCGTGTGTAATGAGCGGCAGAGGAAGGACTGAGACGGCAGTCAGCACAGCTGCCAGGGCAGGAGGGGTGTGGGTTCCACACGCTGGTGCTGGTGAGGGCGTCTCATCTGCCCCACTTGGGGGGGCCGTCGGTCAGTGCTGCCGCATGGGCACGCCAGGGTGCTGCTTGTCTTTGCTGGAGTTGCTTGGAGGGTGGGTTGGGAGGTGAAAGGAGGACCACAGACCTGAACCACTCCAGCTGCGAAATGCTGGAAGTGTAACCCAAAATGTGAGAAAAAAAAACACCCTTTTAAGTAAGTGGGTGTGAAAGTGGGCCAAGGCCTGATGCCACAGTCAGGGAGCAGGGAAGGCTCAGCATTGCTCACCCTCACTTAAGGATGGGGCTAGCATCACATAAGGCATCACATAAGGATGGGGGCTAGCAGGGAAAGGGAGAGAAAACACATGAGGCACACACAGACCCTGGGAAGCTGGTGGAGCTGTGCTAACGTCAGCAGACCAGTGATCAAAGACCCAGGCCTTGGGGAGATTCCACAGACCTACAGTTTCTTTTTTCTTTCTTTTTCTTTTCTTTTTTTTTTTTTTGAGACAGAGTCTCTCGCTCTGTCACCAGGCTGTGTGCAGTGGCACAATCTCGGCTCACTGCAACCTCCTCCCAGGTTCAAGCGATTCTCCTGCCTCAGCCTCCCGAGTAGCTGGGACTAGAGGCACACACCACCATGCCTGGCTTATTTTTGTATTTTTAGTAGAGATGGGGTTTCGCCATGTTGGTCAGGCTGGTCTCAAACTCCTGACCTCAAGTGATCCACCAGCCTCGGCCTCCCAAAGTGCTAGGGTTACAGGCGTGAGCCACCGTGCCCCTCCTAAAGTTTCTTAAATACACTTTTAAAAGTAAACTTTAAATTTTGGAGTAGTTTCCAATTTCTGGAAAAGTTGCAAAGATAGCCAAGAGTGTTCCCTGGGGCCCTCACACCATATCCCCATTGTTGATGTTTTATGTTACCAAGGTACGTTTGTTGTAGCTAAGAAACCCACGGACAATCCTAAGCATTTAGGAGCTCCATCACCTGGTTTTAGGATGCAAAATGCTGACCGAACTAGGAGGTGCAGCTCCTCAGAGGGTGCACCTATGGTTCAACTGTGCCCCTCAGGAGCACGGTTGGGAAATGCCCGCAGATGCACTGACGTGGTGGGGAATAGCCATCCACCAGTGTTCGTGCTTGAAAGGGCCCAAGGTATGGATGCTGGCGGAGGGGGCAGGCTTGAGTCTTGGGGTCTCCCACTGACTCCTGCTGTTGCCCCAGGCTGTTTCCTGACTGGGCACCGGCACACCCCTCCACACTCTGGTGCCACTGCCGGCAGGTGTACCTGCCCATGAGCTACTGCTACGCCGTTCGGCTGAGTGCCGCGGAAGACCCGCTGGTCCAGAGCCTCCGCCAGGTAGGACCTCATCAGGGAACAAAGTGAAGGCCTCTGGGGCTGGGACCCACAGGGCCTGGGGCTTCTGGAATCTAACCACACCTGTCCACTCACCTGGTGGCCCTGTGGAGCGGAGAGCCCTGTGGAGCAGAGCCTCCACCTTCCTCCATCCTATAATAAACAGTGAGCAAGCTCTGCCCAGAGGGGACTTGTGCTATGGGACAGTCAGTAGCTGTAGCCCAGGGTTCCTGGGGGGGACTTCCAGGACTCAAGGGATGCAGGAGGCAGATGTGCACTGTGTCCTCTGGAAGCAGGCCTGAGGCGAGGTTTGAGGTGCAGGATGTTTATCAGGCCTGCCATGGGGAAGAAGGAGGGGCAGAGGGAGGAAATGAGCTTCTGGGCAGACCTGGGACTCATGGAGCTGGGGAGCTCCTCAGAGCGGTCCTCCCATAGGGGGCCTTCATGTGGCCTCGGGGTCAGTTGCTGGAGGGACCCCCACCCAGGAAGGGACTGGCCCAGGGCCCTGAGGGCGGATGGTGGGAGGCCACCCCTCCTGGTTTGAGCCAGGCCTACCAGGTGCTCCCAGGCCCCAAGGCTCAGACACTGCCCCCACCAGGAGCTCTATGTGGAGGACTTCGCCAGCATTGACTGGCTGGCGCAGAGGAACAACGTGGCCCCCGACGAGCTGTACACGCCGCACAGCTGGCTGCTCCGCGTGGTATATGGTGAGCGCCTCCTGAGGGGCCGGCAGGGCAGCCCAGGGTCAGGGTCAGGGTGTCGCCCACTCATTCACGCACTCATCCCCTGCCAGCGGCACTGGGCCACCTCCTCTGTGCCAGGCCCCAGGGGGCGGGATCTCATCGCCCTGCCCCTCCACCCTGAGAACCAGCTGGTCTTCTACTCTCAGGAGTCCACCCTGTGCAAGGGTGTGTGGTAGGAGGTGTGGGGCAGCCCCTCCTGGGCAGGGAAGGAGGAGCTCAGAGACCAGGCCTGGGGGTGGGTGGGAGGGGGAAACCCTGGGAAGGGCAAGTCCAGGCGTTGCAGTGCATGGAGCTCCAGGCTGAGGCCAGTGTCATGGTGTCTGGCATCCACTGACCCCTGTCCCCTGTAGCGCTCCTCAACCTGTATGAGCACCACCACAGTGCCCACCTGCGGCAGCGGGCCGTGCAGAAGCTGTATGAACACATTGTGGCCGACGACCGATTCACCAAGAGCATCAGCATCGGCCCGGTCAGTGCCCCTGCCCGGCCTCTGACTGCAGCCCCTGGGGGTTGAGGTCCGAAAGTGAAGTCCTAGAGGCCGGGCTGTGAGCTGGGAGTGGGGTTTCCTGGAGCCTGGTGTACCTCCATTTGGGAGGTGGCCCTCTGATCGCACAAGTGTCTGAGGGCTTCTGTCCTGGACCCCTGCACGCCCAGCTCAGTGAAGTTGCCCCACCACACTCGACCCCCCGCTTCCGTCCCCCACCGGCTCTTGTCCTCAGTGTGCCTGGACACTCTCCTAGAGGCCCCTCCCTGAGATCTTGCTGGCTAGCTGGCTAGCTGGGAGGGGTGCTTTTTCCTCACTTGGTTCCCTCTCCCCAAACAGTTCATCATTCGCCATTCTCCCGTGGGGTTTAGACATGCCCAGGGTGGGTGGGAGTAGCAGGTGCCACTCCTGATTCCTCCTGCCTAGCTAGGGACTTGGAGCTCTCACCTCTGTGGGGCCTGCAGGGGTCCAGGTGTGGCCAGTTCAGTGACCTTAGAGGGTGCAATTCCCGGGCTGTGCTGGTGCGTGGCCGCCTCCTGACAGAGTCAGCAGGCCCTGGGCTGTGCTGCAGCTGCTGCCATAGCTGTGCGCGTAGCTGCTGCGGTGTAGTGGGTTGGCTTAGGCATTCTCTGGACATACCCAGGTGGCACTGGGCCACTGAGTCCCACCCTGACACTGCATCTCGGATTTTCTGGGCCTCATGCCACCTCAGTGGATCACAAATCCTGACTGACCCTGCAGCGGGTCCCTTGTTTTTTGCTCAGCAGTGATGTGGTTCTTTGTGGGTTTTGGTTTAATCCCATATAGAGCACATCTGTACTAAACGCATTAGAAACATGCTTGCAATTGGATCTTGACTTGTGAGATGCATAAGTAAAAAGTTGGGGGCCTCTGGAACATTCTGTTCTGAGGAAGAAGGGGGGCAAGTGGTCCCTACTGCTACAGTCCTGTCTTCGCATCTCTTCCTGGGCCCCTCAGGCCCTGTCCTCTGTCCCCTGTGTTGTCTCTAAGGCACCTGGTAGCCCATGCCCCTCTGGTTTCTCCTGGAACCCCTCGCTTCTCCCTGGTGGAGTGCTGCTCCTTCTCACAGCCTAAGGCAGGCTGTGGCCTTGGCCGACACTGCCTCTGTCTGAGTTGGGTCCTGGGGACACAGTTGTTGCCCATCCTCGCTCAGGAAATGCCTGTTAGAGCAGAAGGCCCCTGTCCTGGCCCTGAGTGATCTGCACGGCACTTTATGCCTGGGGGCTGCTGTGGATCTGGACGAGACCTTGTCCCTGGAGGCTGCTGTGGGTCTGGAGCGGAGCCTTGACAGGGCTGTCTCTCCTGCAGATCTCGAAAACCATCAACATGCTTGTGCGCTGGTATGTGGACGGGCCCGCCTCCACTGCCTTCCAGGAGCATGTCTCCAGAATCCCGGACTATCTCTGGTGAGTGTGGCTGGGATATGCTGGCGGGGCCTCTCACGAAGACTGGATCTGAGCCCCAGCTGCATCCCAGTGAGGGGGCCCCCACGGTGCCATCTGGGAATACTGCCAGGGAATACCTCCAGGAACCAGCAGTGTCAGGGCTTGTGGAAGCCACTGAGGGTTGTCTTTGAATTGGAAGATTTGCCACCCAGTGGAAGTGTGGGGTGTTCCCAGAAGGTAGAGTGAGGAAGGGGGTGGTAGGTAGCAGGGCAGGTTCAGGTTGGCATCAGGAGGCCTGTGGACAAGGGGAGCTTGTCAGCCATGGACTGTGCCCTGGAGGTGGGGCCCCTGTCATGGAGGGCAGAGAGCCGTCCCATGGTGGGAAGCTTCCGCTGTACAGGCCTCTTCCTCTGGTGCCTCAGCACTGCACGAGGGCGGCAGGGCTGGCACAGCCTGGGGTCGGGGAGCCTCCCGCTGCCCCTTGCCTTGGGTGTGGCCCTTCTGGGTGAGTGTGTCCTGTTTTCCATAGAGTGTGGCCCTCACCCCCAGGAGCCCAGCAGCCCAGCTGGGGTGGCATCCAGGCCAGTGCCAGGCCTCGGGAGGGGACAGACGGCCTCTCTGGGACCCTCCTGAGTGCAGGGTCTGGGTAGCAGCTGGGCTTCCAGCTTTCTCCTTGCACCTGACTTGGGCTTTTTTCTCCTCACAGGATGGGCCTTGACGGCATGAAAATGCAGGTAAGGGCTGCGGGACTGCGGCTGCATGCTTCCTTTGCAATCATGTCTCCCCTTTATTATTTTTCCTTTGGGGTTCAGAAATAACTCCTCCTGGACCAGGTCCCGGCAGCGTGCGACTAGAGGCTGAGTCAGTTGAGGCCTCTGGCCGTGTCCCTGTGGGTGCTGTTGGTCTCTGTGTGGGTGCCCACCGTTCTCGATGTCTGTCTGCAGCTGTCCTGTTTGCTTTTTGCCCTGATGATCTGAGTGGGCTCAGCTGTGTAACGACAGACCCAGAGCTGCAGAAGCTCTCATCTTGTTACTGTGGCAGGAGGTGGCTCTGGTTAGTGGGGGCTTCTCCTCCATGCACTCTTAATTTAAGGGGCTTCTTCTTAAAGGTCCTGGGTGGACAGGACAGGAGCCTGGAGGACCGTGGTGGCGTGTGGCCGGGCCTGGGAGCTCCCCGTGGACTTGGCCTGAGTGGGCTGGAACCCAGTCATGAGGGGCACCAAGCACAAGGAGAGGGGAGGCCGGTGGATCCTGGCTGACCCTGGTCCTGTCCTGGCTCTGGGGGCCCTGTAGACCGCAGTCCTGTCCGACTGGGCTGAGCCTGCGCCCCTCTGTGCGTGTCAGAAGCCCAGACAGTGTTGCCCTGTGTCTTGTGGTCTAAGGAGGGTTACGCCCTGCGGTGCCTGTCTTCTGTCCCCCACCTGATTCAGTGTGGAAATGTGGAGTCTCCAGAGGTGTCCTGGGTGTCACATTTGGGATGGATACACGTGGGCCCAGCACTGCCCGCCCCAGGGCTACCCTTGGTGCCAGGTGCCCCCAGCCACGAGCTTTTACCCAGCTGGCCTTGAGCTCCCCAGAGGCTCCCCGGACACTGTCCGTGTTTTGTGAAAAGGTTTTCAAAACACATGTAAAGTGGAGGTGAGTAGCAAGCCCTAGAGCAGGCCCTGGCCTCCCTGCCCCTCCCTGTCCCCTCCCTGCCCCTCCCTGCCCAGCGCTCCCTCAGCACCGACTCATCAGTGCACCTCAAGCTGATGAGGGCGTCTGTGTTTTGACAAAATTGCTCTGAGGTTGTCACACCCAACAAACTTATGACGGTTCCTGAGTGTAGTCCTCACGTTGTGGCTGGTGTTTGTGAATCAGGATTCAGGCCAGGCCTGCACAGGCCTTCAGTTGTTGGTCTTTGAGCTCCTGTTAGTCCAGCCGTCTCTCGTGGTCTCTTTTCTCCTCCTGGAAGGTTTGTTCCTGAAGGGCTTCACATTGCAGATCTGACTGGTTGCTTCTTATGTTCCCTGAGTTTTTGTAAACTGGCCAGGCCCTGAGGCTCGATCCCATTGTGTTTCTTTGGCGAGAATGCTTTTCTGGTGGTCCCTGCCTTGTCCCTCCAGTGCACGATGTCTGGATGCCTCTGCCACACACCACCCCCTGCCCAGTCCCCATGTCTGTCTGGTCAGTGCCCAGCTCTGTCTCACTAGGGTTTGGTCACCGGCCCTTTGAACTGAGACCAGGCTGTGTACCTGTGAGCCCAGCTCGGGGTGAGATTTGAGGTGGAGCCTTCCCAGCCCTGTGCAGAATTCCCATCACCTCCAGGTGTACTCAGAAATGGGGATCATTGGCCAGGTGCGGTGGCTCACGCCTGTAATCCCTACACTTTGGGAGGCCAAGGTGGGCGGATCACAAGGTCAGGAGATAGAGACCATCCTGGCTAACATGGTGAAACCCCGATGCTACTAAAAAATACAAAAAAAATTAGCTGGGTGTGCTGGCAGGAGCCTGTAATCCCAGCTACTCCGGAGGCTGAGGCAGGAGAATGGCGTGAACCCAGGAGGCGGAGCTTGCAGCGAGCTGAGATCACGCCACTGCACTCCAGCCTGGGCAACAGAGCGAGACTTCATCTCAAAAAAAAAAGAAATGGGGTCATTTCCAGGCATCACCATGACTGAGGTGCGCCACTGTCATTGGGTGAGAGCAGCTGGATGCTCTATGTGTAGGTGCTGGAGCCTCTAAGGGATCGTCCAGTCCTAGAAGTGTCCTCAGAGGGACACTGTCCTGCCTGGTGGCCCATGAAGAAAGGGAGGGCTCCCTGAGTCTCCCCGACGTGTGTCTGCCTGCAGGGCTCAGCCTTCTCTGAGGCCCTTGTCAGCCATGAGGGGTGCCCAGGGCTCAGAGCCTGAGGCTGAGCGTTGGCTGGGTGGGAGCCCCCACACCTGGCCCTCAGGCGCCCATTGGATCCTGGAGGCAGTGGCTGGGAGTGGGAGGGGCTGCATCTGCTGCTGTAACACCATCCTTTGTGTGTAGGGCACCAACGGCTCACAGATCTGGGACACCGCATTCGCCATCCAGGCTCTGCTTGAGGTTCGTGGCTCCTTCTCTTTTCTCAGCCTCAGCTGACCTTCCTGTGCACGTGAGCCCACGCATCCACCTGAGGGCAGCACTGCTGGCCACACACTTGCCACTCCTCGATACTTCCAGTGACCTGGGCTCTGGCCTCTGGCTTCAGAGGGTCGTGCTGTGGAGGGGGCGGCCTTGGCCAGCAGCCTTGGGTGTTGGGCTGGGTCGGGGGCCTTGGGAGGGCAGGGGCTGGAGGCTGTGTGAGAAGGGGAGTCTGGTGAAGGCTGTTTCTGAGAGTGCAGGCAGGAGTGGGACTCCAGGCTCTTCTTAGAACTGGAACTGCTTGGGCCAGGCACGGTGGCTCACACCTGTAATCCCAGCACTTTGGGAGGCCGAGGAGGGTGGATCACGAGGTCAGGAGTTCAAGACCAGCCTGGCCAAGATGGTGAAACCCCGTCTCTACTAAAAGTACACAAAAATTAGCCAAGCGTGGTGGCGGGCACCTGTAATCCCAGCTACTTGGGAGGCTGAGGCAGAGAATTGCTTGAACCCGGGAAGTGGAGGGTGCAGCGAGCCGAGATTGTGCCACTGCACTCCAGCCTGGGTGACAGAGAGAGGCTCCGTCTCAAAAAAAAAAAAAAAAAAAAAGAACTGGAACTGTTTGTTATGGGCATTCTCGAGCCAGTACTGGAGAAAAACGAGAGTGGATTTTTATGCCGGTGGGAATGAGGTAGGTGGGATTCTGAAGGTGTTTCTGGAGAGCCCTGAGGGCTGGGCCACGCAAAGGGCCTGCCTACACAGGGTGCTGGAGACCCTCTGGGCATGGATGCTGGCCAGGCAGGGGGGTGCTGGCATCCATAAATGGTCTCCTGCGCCCTTCCATCTTCAGTCATATCTCATGGACTTTTGCTGTTTTGTCTTTAAAGGTAAGTGCAGCAGGAGACCCTGGCACTCTCTGGAGATGTCTGCTGGTTTGATTCTGGTCCCCGGTTGGGGCAGGATGTGGCCAGGACCATCGGGAAACCAGCGCAGCCATGCTGGCCGTGCAAGGGCAGCTGAGCCTCTCTGTCCTGCTGTCTCTTCCAGGCGGGCGGGCACCACAGGCCCGAGTTTTCGTCCTGCCTGCAGAAGGCTCATGAGTTCCTGAGGCTCTCACAGGTGAGGCCGGTGCCTGGGGCTCTGAGGGGGCTGAAGAGGGGGATCAGGGCTGGGAGCTCCTGCAGGCAGAAGTGCCCACCTCACCTCCACCCTGCCCTATTTCCTGCACTGGTGTTTCAGGTCACCCCCACCCTCCCATCCCCTCCCTAGCCCCTGCTCCATCCACCGGTCCTCCTCGGGCTGGCCTCACCTGGGGCAGCTCTCTGAGGCCTGCAGGGTGCTGGGGGTGCTGGCAGTTTCTGCGTCCTGCTCATGTTGGAGCCACTGTGTGCAAGGGCCAGGCACGGGCAGGGGCTGTGTACCCTGAGCTGCACAGCCTACACGGCACCTCCATGTCTCTGAAGCACCTTCTGCCCATGGAGGTGACGCCAGCCTGTGGACTTGCCCTCCTGAGACTGTTTGCAGCAAAAGCCCCGGTCCCTCCTGCCAGATCAGCTGCCCACAGACCCTGCCCGAGCCCATAGTTTGACCTCAGTGTCTCTCACACGTGCCTGCACCCCAGTCTGCAGCCACAGTCATCCCATACATGCGCCCCAACCTCCCGTGTCTCCCACACCCTGTCCCGGCCACGGCCTCAGCCAGTGTCCCTCTGCCTGGAACCGCTGCCCCCCAGCCCCGTCTCCCTCCCTTCAGCTCTCACTAGGACATTGTTCTGCAGGGCTTCTGGGTCTTCCTGGCCTCTGTGTGGCCAAGGCTGGCACCCATCTTGGGCTCAAGCAGAGGAGGGGCATTGTCCTGCTGTGCCTGGCCCAATGGTGGCCTGCTCCTGCTCCTGCCTCCTGCCCAGGACTTGCTCTGGGTGATGGGGACTTGGGGAGGCTGACTGAACCCTACGGCACTCCAGGCCTCTTCCCTTCTCACTGAGGTGAGAGAGGCAGCCAGAAGCTGAGGTTGTTCAGGAGGCATTGGGGGCGCCTGGCACAGAGCACACCCGCAGAGACCTGGGCCCCCTCCCTGCCTTCTGGCCGGTGGGGAGATCACAGGGGAGTCAGGTGCTGACTCCCAGTCCCGTCTGGGCTGGTTTGAGCCCTCGCTGGCCAGTCACGTTTCCCAGCAGCTGTGGGTGGTGAGCTAAACAGGTGCAGGCCCTCGCGCGCCTCGCAGCACCAGTGGTGGCTGTGGCCGGCAGAGTAAGCTCCCAGGCACGTTCTGCCTCTCCAGTCCTGCCCAGTCTGTCTCAGCGATGTCCCAGATGGGGACGTCCCGTGGTGACGTGTTCTCTGCTTCCACATTTGCCCTCGATGCTGCCCAGGTCCCAGATAACCCTCCCGACTACCAGAAGTACTACCGCCAGATGCGCAAGGTATGCGGGAGCCAGCCCCATCCCTGTCCCGTCCCCCAGGGGAGGCCGCCCTCAGCAGGGTGGGTCCTTCCCTCTGAAGGGGGGGCTCCTCCCTGGGGGACTCCTCCCTTGGCGTTTTTGGGTGTCCTGCTGTGGTGGATGCCTGGCCTAGGGGCTCATGCTTCATGTTGCTGAGCTGCCTGGCACATGGAGGCACAGTTGGCTTGCACACACAGCCGTGCCTCAGAGCAGTTCCAGTGGTCACGGCACACACAGGCTTCAGAAGGACAGCCGAAGTGTAGCCAGTGTGTCCGGGGAAGGCAGAGGAAAGAAGTAGACCTCAGAGCCGGTGTGGGCTGTGACCACAGGTGCAGACTGTGAAATTAGGCATGGACCCAGCTGCTGCTGCCTGTTTACAATGGGGGTGGGGGGCACCTGGGCCCCATCCTGTCCGTCGTGAGATCTGCAGGTGTTGAGGGTGTGAGCTGCACCCCTGAGGGTCCCTGTGCTGGAAGCTGGAGGTCTGTCTGGATGTACCCAGCTTGGGGCCCTGGCTGCACCCACACCTTTGGTGGCTGGGCCCCTGCCCTGACCGGGTGCTCTGTGGTGGGGAGGGATGCGTGCGGCTGTGGGGAGGTTCTGAGAACTGGGGTGTGGACACCCCCAGCCTGGAGTCATGGCTTGTGCTCTGCAGGGTGGCTTCTCCTTCAGTACGCTGGACTGCGGCTGGATCGTTTCTGACTGCACGGCTGAGGCCTTGAAGGCTGTGCTGCTCCTGCAGGAGAAGTGTCCCCATGTCACCGAGCACATCCCCAGAGAACGGCTCTGCGATGCTGTGGCTGTGGTAAGGCTGTGGTCCCAGCAGCCCCGTCCATACCTCGTGTCCTGCAGATGAGCTGCGTGCTCACTTCCACTCCTGTGGGCTCCAGCCCAGCACACAGTCCGGCCAGGCCGTAGGAGCTTGTCCTTGGATGGTGTCTATATGTGGAGAACTGTGAGCTCTGGCTGGACCCCTAGGGGCCTTGCTGGGCTGTGTGCACAGGGCCCTGCACTGCGGAGCTGGTGTCCAGCCCAGCCACCGATACTTGGGGGAGCCGGCGTGGCCCCCAAGGTTTCTCTCTGGTGGTTTCCACTGGGTGTCTGAAGAGGGAATTTGTTGGTGTTGGTTTTGGTGCCACATCCTTTCAGCACATCTGGCTTTTGTGTGTGTTTCCCAGTGGAGACCCTGCCCTTTTCTGGCAGCACAGACTTGGTTTCTAAGTCATGGGCACGTGTGGGGGCATGTTCCCTGGTGGCTGTGCATGGAGGCCCTGACAGATGAGGTTGCAGCTGCTGCTTGGGGCACCCGAGGGCTTGGTTAACGTGGAAATCAGCTCTCCGCCCCCTGTTCCTGCCCCATCGGTTGTCAGCCCTAGTGTTGCCTCTAGAGAGTTCCGCTGTGCCCTGGGCGCCTGTGTGTGCTCAGCACATGGGCGAGTTCTAGGGTGCTCTCTGTGATTTCAGCTGCTGAACATGAGAAATCCAGATGGAGGGTTCGCCACCTATGAGACCAAGCGTGGGGGGCACTTGCTGGAGCTGCTGAACCCCTCGGAGGTCTTCGGTGAGTGGTCGGCCAGCACTGCGGCGCGCAAACCCGGGGCTGGCTAGCACTGTGGTACACAAACCTGGGGGCCAGCTTTTCCCCCTTGCCCGAGGCTGCAAGGGCCCAGGTTCACCGGCAGATCTGTCTGGAGCCCTCCCTCAGCCCAGGCTGTTCTGCGCTCCTCCATCCCCCGGGGTGGCAGGATCCTTGTGTTGTGGATAGGAGGGCATCAGGTCAGACCTAGGGGACAGTGGAGGGTTCCAGTGAGATCCACAGCCTGGGCTGGTTCCTGCTCAGTCCACAGGGCTTGTGTTCTGTGGAGGCTGCTGTGTATCCAGAGCGCCTGCAGGGAGGTGTCTTTGGGGACTGTGGGGACTGTGGGGACCCATGCCATGGGCAGTAGGCTGCTGTGTGTGCATGGTTGCCACCGTACTGGTCTTGGGGGAGGATCTCAGCCCTGGTCCACCTCTGGGCACCTCACATACCCGCCTTCCTGGTCCCCTCCACATCACACATGGCTTTTTGGGGTGGGGTCGCAGCTTTCTGCTGTGTTCCCCTCATCTTCGCTCTCAGGTAGCACAGGTGTGTGTCCTGGACCAGCCGGCGTTTGCTCTGGAGGTTGGTCAGGGAGGCAGCGTCCGGGCCCGGGCTCACTGCAACACTCTTGCTTGTTGTGGCTTTGCCTGAGCTGCAGAGCCTGGGCAGCCAGGGTGAAACCCAACACTTGGTTCTTCCCTCCCTTTCCCAGGGGACATCATGATTGACTACACCTATGTGGAGTGCACCTCAGCCGTGATGCAGGCGCTTAAGTATTTCCACAAGCGTTTCCCGGAGCACAGGGCAGCGGAGATCCGGTAAGGAGGGTCTCAGCCATTCAGTGTGGGCGCTGCCAAGTCGGGGGCCAAGACCCAGACGCATCATTCTGTGACACGGCCCTGGTGGCCCATCTCAGAAGCGAAACTCATGGAAACATGCAAGAGGCTTCGGATGTTGTGGAATCCAGTCATATGCCCTAAAGCATACAAAATATCTGTTAGGGGCTCAGAATAGCACAGTTATGATACAAAAATGGATTTTCTCTCTCTTTTAATAATGTTAAGAAGACATCACATACCTGACTCCACCGGTGTCCCAGAAACGGTTTTTAAGTAACCTTTCCTGTTGAAGGGTAGCAAGTATTCAGAAAAGTGTACAGGTTGGTCTTCTTGAAGCAAACAGGAAGCGAACAGTGCCAGCATTAGACATGGTGACACCACCAGAGCCCTCGGCCCGCCCCATGACGGGGCCGCCCACATGCCTGCCAGGTCGTGGGTGTCTGTTGCTCGCTTTGGATCTTGTCTAGGTGGACTCCTGAGGTGTGGAATTCGTGTTGCCTTCTCCTGCTCTCCTGCTCTCCTGCTCGCGGTTAGTCAGGTGGCTCGGGTAACAGCAGCGTTCTCTCCCTCGGGCCTTCGGTTGAACACAGATGCCGCGCTATCCAGCTGCCTGTTCTCAGCACCTGGGAGGATTTCAGTCTGGGTTATTATGAAGCATCTACTGTGAACACTCTTGTACTTATCTTTTGGGGGCACCTGGGTACCCATTTCTCATGGTCACGTACCTAGGAGTGGCATTGCTGTGTTAGAGGGTACGTTATAGGGTATGTGATTTTTGTAGGTTCTTCTTTATCCTATCACGATTACATTTTTTTACTTTTGTTCAACCTGGTGTAGACTCACCTTGGTCACAATGCACTGTCCTTTTTATATATTGCTAGATTCAATTTGAAGAATATTTTGTTAGGATTTTAGCAACTCTGGTTACAAGAGACGCTGGTCTATAATTTTTTTTTCTTTATAATGTTTTTGTCAGGTTTTCCTGTTAAGATGATGCTGGACTTAGAAAAGCAGTTGGAAAATGCTTTTAAAATACTCTTTGGAAGAATTTATGTAATATTCATAATATTTCTGCCTTAAATGTTTGGGAAAAATTACCGGAAATGCCAGTTGGGCCTGGAGATTTCTTTGAGGAAAGTTTTTAAATTAGAAGTTCAATTTCTTTCTTTCTTTCTTTCTTTCTTTTTTTTTTGAGATGGGTTCTAGCTCTCTCACTCAGGCTGGAGTGCGGTGTAATTTCTTTAATAGTTTATAGGACTGAGCAGATTTTCCATTTTTGTATCAGTCTGGGGAGTCTTCCCATTTCCACTCAGCTTTACACTGATTCATGCAAAGTTGTTCAGTGTCCTCTTAGATGGCTCTGAGCCCAACGCTGACATCCTCCTCTTCCTTCTGAGAATCTTATACTGATCTTTTGAAAAAAAAAAAATCTTAGTCTTTGATTCTGTTTTTAAAGAGACTTTATTTTTGGTTTCATCAATTTCTATTGTTTGTTATTTTCTTTCTTTCTTAATTTTTTTGAGATGGAGTCTTGCTCTGTTGCTGAGGTTGGGGAGCAGTGGCGTGATCTCAGTTCACTGCAACCTCCGTTTCCGGGGTTCAAGCGATTCTCCTGCCTCAGCCTCCCGAGTAGCTGGGACTACAGGTGCTGACCACCATGACTGGCCAATTTTTTGGTATTTTTATTAGAGACAGGGTTTTACCATGTTGTCCAAGCTGGTCTTGAACTCCTGACCTCAGGTGATCCACCTTCCTTGGCCTCCCAGAGTGCTGGGATTACAGGTGTGAGCCACCACACTGGCCTTTGCTATTTTCTTTCTCCTTTATTTTTCTAACTTGAATACTTAGATATTTGATTTTCAGGCTTTTATTGAAATATGAATTTGAGGCTATAAATGAGTTTTGAGATATCATTCAGTTAAATGTGTGTTCTGGTGCTTGCTGTGGTAGCACAGATACTAAAAGTGTTTTCTGTTTCTACTGTTCTTCTCTGGCCCATGAGTTATGTGGGAGTATGCTGCTTCATTTACAATCTGAGAATGTTCTGGTGTGGTTTTTTTGGAAGCCGTGGATGGAGCAGGGGTTTTCTTGTGCTTCACAGGTGCAGCTAGGAGGGCACTGTGTCCAGGGTCTTCTGTCGGCCTGGCGTGGCCCTCGGCCATGTGCTGCTCTGCGGCATGAGGTGGGCGTGAGTTGTCCTCAGCCACATTTAGAGAATTGGCCTTTTAAAAAATAGATCATCTTTTAAAAATCACTGTAATAAAAGTAAAGCAGGTTCTTTGCAAACAAGACTTGCAAAATACAGAGAAGCGCAAAGAAGAAGCTAAGTCGCCCCTCCTCGCCCCTGAAGGAGAATCTGCTGTTGCTGTTTGGTCTCCACATTTCCATGGCGGCTTGCTGCCCCTTTCACGCCTGGCCCACTTTGTGCCTGGTGAGGTTTCTAAAAGCCCCACCATTGAGCGCGCTCCTCCAGCACGAGCAGTAATGGCACAGGTGTTGTGTCATTTTACTCAGTAGCCTCTGGGTTATTTTTCAGTTTTCCTTGTTGTTTTTTAGCTTTTCCCCATTTTAACCTTAACTGGTATTTTCTTGTTAAATATTTATTCATGACCATTATTATTCCCTAGAGCCACATGGCTTGGGGTCCACCTGCCTGGGTCAGCCCCCATCCCTGCCCCTTCTGGCTGTCTGACCTGGCCTGGTGACTTCTCTTCTCTGCTCATCTCTCTCCCTGCCTGAGTGGGCAACAGTACAGCCTCACAGAGTGGTGGGATTGTGTGAGATGCCACAGGGAAGCACATGTCAGTTGTTGTCACTGTGTAGAACAATGAGTCCCGGATGTGGCCCGCAGGGGAGCAATGGTGACTTAATCGCGGGCTTCCTCTGCATTTCTTTGGTGACTTCCAAGCTAGAACATTCTTTTTTTGTTTATTTGTTTGAAGCAGGGTCTCACTCTGTTACCTAGGCTGGAGTGCAGTAGCAAAATCATGGCTCACCACAGTCTCAAACTTCCGGGCTCAAGCAATCCTCCCACCTCAGCCTCCTGAGTAGCTGGGACTACAGGTGCATACCATCACCTGTGGCTAATTTTTTAAATGTTTTGTATTTTTTAAATGTTGCTCAGGCTGGTCTTGAACTGCTGGGCTCAAGCAATCCTCCCACCTCGGCCTCCCCAAATGCTGGGATTACAGAGTGAGCCACCACACCCAGCCATTTTTAAAATTTTCACCAGGAAGTTTTTTCTTTCATTTTTAAGCACAGTAAGTATTTGTGTATTATGTTACAGATATTTTCCCCTCAATTTCTTTGTTCTTTTTATCTCTTTAGGGAGTATGAACATAAGTTTTTAACTTTTAAATGGTTAAATATATTAGTGTGATTTTTATATTAAGATTTTATTTTATTTATTTTTTTTTTTTTTGAGACGGAGTCTCGCTCTGTCGCCCAGGCTGGAGTGCAGTGGCGGGATCTCGGCTCACTGCAAGCTCCGCCTCCCGGGTTCACGCCATTCTCCTGCCTCAGCCTCCCAAGTAGCTGGGACTACAGGCGCCCGCCACTACGCCCGGCTAATTTTTTGTATTTTTAGTAGAGACGGGGTTTCACCGTTTTAGCCAGGATGGTCTCGATCTCCTGACCTCGTGATCCGCCCGCCTCGGCCTCCCAAAGTGCTGGGATTACAGGCGTGAGCCACCGCGCCCGGCCTATATTAAGATTTTAAACTTGCCGGGCGCAGTGGCTGACGCCTGTAATCCCAGCACTTTGGGAGGCCGAGGCGGGTGGATCACAAGGTCAGGAGATCGAGACCATCCTGGCTAACACGGTGAAACCTTGTCTACTAAAAATACAAAAATTAGCCGGGCGTGGTGGCGGGCGCTTGTAGTCCCAGCTACTCGGGAGGCTGAGGCAGGAGAATGGCGTGAACCCGGGAGGTGGAGCTTGCAGTGAGCCGAGATGGTGCCACTGCACTCCAGCCTAGGCGAGAGTGCAAGACACCGTCTCAAAAAAAAAAAAAAGATTTTAAACTTACCTGGAGAGTTTTTGAGATACAGTTTGGAGTTGCAAGTTACTTTAACACTATTTATATGGAATATTCTATTTTACTAGACAGACTTAAATTCTCCCTTAAATTCACAAATTTATAGAAAAGTTACAAAAATACTGAAAAGTGCTCCTGTTTACTCTGACTAGAATTCTTTAGTGGGTGGCACCCTACCCTGAGGGCTTCATGACCTGTCCTCCCACATGATCCAGGCTCTACCCTCAGGGCTTCATGACCTGTCCTCCCACATGATCCAGGCTCTACCCTCAGGGCTTCATGACCTGTCCTCCCACGTGATCCAGGCTCTACCCTCAGGGCTTCATGACCTGTCCTCCCACGTGATCCAGGCTCTACCCTCAGGGCTTCATGACCTGTCCTCCCACGTGATCCAGGCTCTACCCTCAGGGCTTCATGACCTGTCCTCCCACGTGATCCAGGCTCTACCCTCAGGGCTTCATGACCTGTCCTCCCACATGATCCAGGCTCTACCCTCAGGGCTTCATGACCTGTCCTCCCACGTGATCCAGGCTCTACCCTCAGGGCTTCATGACCTGTCCTCCCACGTGATCCAGGCTCTACCCTCAGGGCTTCATGACCTGTCCTCCCACGTGATCCAGGCTCTACCCTCAGGGCTTCATGACCCTTCCTCCCACATGATCCAGGCTCTACCCTGAGGACTTCATGACCTGTCCTCCCACGTGATCCAGGCTCTACCCTCAGGGCTTCATGACCTGTCCTCCCACATGATCCAGGCTCTACCCTCAGGGCTTCATTACCTGTCTTCCCACATGATCCAGGCCCATTCTTTCTTGAACCATTGGAAAGGAATTTGCAGATAGGATGTGTACCCCTAACTGCCTGAGTATTTCTTAGCAGGTGTATTCTTTTGTGCAAGTGTAAGTCAGAATGTTAATGTTGATGAAATACTAATCTGCAGGCCTAATTGTTCCAATAATGTCCTTTATGGCAAAATCTTCCCTCAAGCTTTAATCCAATATCATGGGTTGCATTTGTTTATTTTTAATTATTTTTCTTTTCTTTTTCTGTTTTCCTTACCCTTCTCACTGTGCACATGGGTTGCATTTAGTTATCACATTGACACCCTTTTAACCTGGAATAATTCCTTAATCTTTCCTTGTGTTTGATGACTTTGTCATTTTTGAATTGTTCCACAAGTTATTTTGTAGAATATCCTCAGTGTTTTTTTTTTTCTGGTGTCTCGTGATTAGATTCAGGTTATGAAACTACATTTTTGTCAGGAAGATTGCAGAAGAAATGGGGCCTTCTCCTGCACCTTACCAGGAAGCACACACCAACTTTGATCCCTTGATTAAGGTGATGACCGCTGTACTTAGTTTCTCCGCTATGAAGTTGCTTTTTTTTTCTTTGTGGGGAGACAGTTTTAGACTATGTAAACGTCCTATTTCTCATCATACTTATACCTGTTAGTGTTAGCATTTGATGATGATTCTTGCCTGAATCAATTATTTGCATAATGCTTACAAAATTATCATTCCTTCCATATGTATTAGTTGGTGTTCTTCCAAAAGCTTTTCCTTTGCCTCTGTTTATTTACTTATTTATCACTGTGGACGCATAGATTCTTACGCAATTGATTTTGATACTGATCTCATAGCTAGACAATTTTGCTAAACTTTTAAAAAAATTTATGTACTTTATCTTTTATAGCAGCTTTAAATTTACAGAAAATTTGAGTGGAAGATGCAGTGTTCCCATAAAGCCGCTAACTCCTCGCACCTTCCCTCAAGTTTCCCCAGTACTAACATCTTGCATTCAAGTGGTGCGTTTGCAACATTCATAAATTATTATCGTCCAGAGTCCATTGTTTACATTCAGCTTCCTCTTCATGTTGTTCATTCTGTGGTTTCACAGATGTGTGATGCACGTGCCCACCACTGCAGTGTCACACAGGATCTCACTGCCCCGGAGTCCTCTGCGCTGTCCCCGCCTCCAGAACCCCTTAGTAGCAAACACTGATATTTTTACTGTCTCCATAGTTTTGCCTTTTCAGACTGACCTATTTCACTTAGTAAGAAGCATTTAAGATTCCTGAGTCTCTTTCTATGGCTCAATAGCACATTTCTTTTTAGTGCTGAATAATATTCCATTGTCTGGATGTACCACAGTTTATTCATTCACCTACTAAGGTGAATGTCTTGCTTGCTTCCAAGTTTTGGCAACTATGAATAAAGTTGCTATCAATGTTAGCGTGCACATAAGTTTTCAGCTCATTTGGGTAAATGCCAAGAAGCATGATTGCGGGATCCTATGGTAAGAGTGTGTTTAGTTCTGTAAGAAGCTGCCAAACTGTATCTTAAGTGGCTGCACCATTTGCGTTTCCACCAGCAATGATGAGCGTTTTGTTGCTCCACATCCTCACCAGCATTTGCTGTTGTGTTTTGGGTTTTAGCCTTTCTAAGAGGTGTGTAGTGGTATCTCCTTGTTTCAATTTGCAATTCCCTAATGACATTATGTTAAAATCTTGTCATATAGTTATTTGCCATCTGTGTATCTTTTTCAGTGATGTGTCCTTTAAAGTCTTTGGCTCATTTTTAAATTAAATTTTCTTATTGTTGAGTTTTAGTTCTTCATATATTTTGGCTGCCAGTCCTTTATCAGATATGTCTTTCGCAAATATTTTCTGCCTGTGTCTTGTCTTTTCATTCTATTAACAGTATCTTTTGCAGAGCCAGTTTTCATTTCAAGGAAGTCCAGCTTATCAATGTTCTCTTTCATGTATCATGTTTTTGGTGTTGTATCTAAAAAGTTACTGCCAAGCCCAAGGGTACCTAGATTTTTTCCTGTGTTATATTCTAGGATTTTTAAAGTTTTGCATTTTACATCTAGGTCCATGATTCATTTTGAGTTAACTTTTGTGAAGGGTTTATGGTTTGTGTCTAGATTTTTTTTTTTTTTTTTTTTTTTGCATGTGGATGTCCAGTTGTTTTGGTACCATCTGTCAAGAAGACTCTTTTTGGGTCATTTTGTTGCCTTTGTTTCTTTGTAAAAAATCAGTTGACTGCATTTGCATGGGTCTATTTCTGAGCTCTCTGTTCCATTGCATTGATCTGTTTGTTCTTCTCAGCAATCCCACACTGTCTTGGTTCCTGTAGCTCTGTAGTAGGCCTTGCAGTCAGTTACCGCCCCTGTTCTCACTTCAGTGTTCTCTTCAATAGTGTTTTGACTATTCTAGGTTTTTTCCCTCTCCATATACATTTTAGAGTCAGTTTGTCAATAGTTTACAAAATAACTTGCTGAGACTTTGATTGGGATTACATTGAATCTGTAGCTCAAGTTGGAAAGATCTTTTATTTCTTTCATCAGAATTTTGTAGTTTTCATCATATATAGATCTTGTACATATTTTGTTGTTTATACCTAAGGATTTCATTTTTTTGGTGCTAATGTAAATGGCGTTGTGTTTTAAATGTCAAAATCTAATTGTTCATTGCTGGTAGGAAAACAACTGACCCTTTTTTTTTTTTTTTAAGGGACGCAGTCTTACTCTGTTGCCCAGGCAGAGTGCAGTGGTGCCATCATAGCTCACTGCAGCCTCAAACTCCTGGGCTTAAGGAATCCTCCTGTCTCAGCCTCCTGAGCAGCTAGGACCACAGGCATGTGCCACTACGTTCAGCTAATTTTTCAATTTTTTTGTAGAGATGGGATCTTGCTCTGTTGCCCAGGCTGGTCTCAAACTCCCGTCTGCTTTGAGATGATTATATATTTGTGTCCTTTGTTAATTTAGAGGATTATTATGGATTTTTCTAATGTTAAGACACCTTTGTATTTCTGAGATCGACCTTAGTATTGGTCTATATTTAAGACAGTATTCAGTTTCTCAGTTGTTTTTTGTTTTTTGTTTTTTTTTTTTGAGACAGAGTCTCTGTCTCCCAGGCTGGAGTCCAGTGGCACAATCTCAGCTCACCGCAAGCTCTGCCTCCCGGATTCACGCCATTCTCCTGCCTCAGCCTCCCGAGTAGCTGGGACTACAGGCGCCTGTCATCATGCCCAGCTAATTTTTTGTATTTTTAGTAGAGACGGGGTTTCACCATGTTAGCCAGGGTGGTCTCAATCTCCTGACCTCGTGATCTGCCCACCTCGATCTCCCAAAGTGCTGGGATTACAAGGCGTGAGCCACTGCGCCCGGCAGCAGTTTCTCAGTTTTAATTTGGAGTTTTGCATCTGTGTTCATGAGTGAGCCTGAAATTTTCACTTTTCCATATCTTATTTCTCTGGGTTCCTAGAATGAGCTAGAGAGTGTTCCTCCTTTCTGTTCTCTGGAAGAGTTTGTGTGAGATTAGAATGAGTGTGTCTGATAATTTAGTTGCATTCATTTATAAAATTCCTAGGCCTAGAGTTTTTTTTCTGGGAAAAGTTTACATTTTGACTCATTTTTTTAGTAGTTTTAGGACTGTTTAGGTTCTCTATTTCTTGATTGAGCCAGTTTTGATAAGTTAATCTTTCTAATTTGTAGATATTTTCTCTAAGTTTGCAAATGTAATACATAAAACTTTCTTGTCATTTCTCACCATATCTGTAGTTCTATCTTTTTATTGCTAATATTACTAATTTGTACTTTGACTATTTGTATTTGTTACCTGTTGCCGAGTAACAATATTAGTACAAACCTAGTGGCTTAGAACAACACACATTGATTACTTCACCGTTTCTGTGTGTCAGAAGTCCAGGCGCGGCCTCGCAGGTCGTCCTCTGCCTCAGGGTCTCTCCGGGCTTCAGTCAGGGTGTTAGCCAGGACCGGGGTCTCGCCTGAGCTTCCAGTGAGGAAGGATCTGCCTCTGAGCACACAGGGTCCTCGGCACGATCCCATTCCTCAGCTGGAAGCTGCCGACTACCGTCTGCTGCGGGGCCTCTCTAGATGGCATCTTCACAAAAGCGAGAAGGGAGAGTTGGTAGAGGGAGTCTGCTAGCACCATGGGAGTCGCGGTCACACAGACCTCGGTCCCAGGACCCGCACCCATCAACCCTGCCGTGATCTGCTGGTTAAAGACAAGTCCCACGTCCCACAGGGTGACACTGGAGTAGACACTTCGCTCTGGCCTTTTCAGAGAACTGGTTATTTTTTGGAAATATCAGTTAGATGTAGGATGGGTCTTGTCTTCTAAATCTATTGTTTTCTCTCTAATTGATTTTTTCCTGTTTTTATTTAGTTCACTTTGTTGGGTTTGCTCAAGCCTGGGTCACTGGATCTCAGGGATGCTGCTCCTGTTTGCAGCTGTGTCTGCAGGGGCTTCCCAAGGCCTTGCTTTCCCCTCACGTCCCTTTCTCAGACTCTGCCAATCCGCTTCCCGCTCTGGTGTCCTGTGGTTGCTTCTTTTTAAAACCCTCATCGGTCTGTGTAAACTGTTTATTTTTATGTGGTTTTTAAGGGAGACCATTCTCATTCTTTTGAGACCCTGGAAAGGATGGAATTGGGATAGGTAAACTGCTGTTTTACCAGAATGTTCACTGGACCAATCTCGTGTTCCAGGGAGACCCTCACGCAGGGCTTAGAGTTCTGTCGGCGGCAGCAGAGGGCCGATGGCTCCTGGGAAGGGTGAGTGAGCCTCCACTCGTGAGTGCAGAGATGCACGGGATCCACAGGTTTCTGCTCTCACACACTGCGTTCATAAATGTTGGCTTGTATGTTGTTGCTACACCAGAAGTTTCTGGAAGTGAGCTGCCAGCCCGTGACTTCTGGGGGACCTCGTTCCTTTGTGGCATGCGTGGCCTTTGCCCCGGTGGAAATTGCTCAGTACGTTGCTGGGCGCAGCCGGGCTGCTGGGAGCGCGCTGTAGCCTGAGCGTGGCTATTCCCTCCACCCTTTCTGCTTGCTCTTAGGGTCCAGCAGACAGAGCTGCTGTCTTCCACGGCCTTAATGCCTGAGGCACTGGAGTTGGTGGGCTGGCTGGGGCACGTGTGATTGTTGCAGAATGCGTGTTGTTTCACACACCGGCTGTGAACAGGGTGGAAGGGCTGAGGCTCTCCCTGTTTCCCTCCAGCTCCTGGGGAGTTTGCTTCACCTACGGCACCTGGTTTGGCCTGGAGGCCTTCGCCTGTATGGGGCAGACCTACCGAGATGGGTGAGTGAGTGCCTGTCCTCTGGTGGGTGGGGGTTCTCAACCCAATGCTCTGTCATGAGTGTTTTTTGCTTTGACATTTGGTTTTAGGGTTTGTTTGTTTGTTTGTTTGTTTTTGAGACGGAGTCTCGCTCTGTCAACCGGGCTGACATGCAGTGGCATGATCCTAGCTCACTGCAGTCTCAAACTCGTGGGCTCAAGCGATCCTCCCGAGTAGCTGGGATCACAGGTGCACGCCACCACCCCGGGCTAATCTTTTAAAACTTTTATGTAGAGATGGAGTCTTGCTGTGTTGCTCACACTGGTTTGGGCTCAAGCAGTCTTCCTACCTCGGCCTTCCAAAGTGCTGGGGTTACAGGCATGAGCCAATGTGCCTGGCCTGTTTTTAATATTTTTAAACAGTGAGATAAGATCCCCGGTTGAAATGAAGATGTTTCCCTGGTCCCACAGCTCTCTGGAGCTTCCTGACATGTATGCTGGAGGGACGCTTCTGGTCTCCGGCCCCTCCAGGCATACAGATGCCTCCCAACCCTGAGTAGGAAGATTAGGGTCCACGGCCTCGCTGGAGCGGGTTAGAAGGCAGGAGATCTCCGGTCCCAGCCGTGTCTCCAGCCGCCGGACTCTCTCCCAGCCCTGTCTCCAGCTGCCCCACTGTCTCCCAGAGTCTGCCGTGTGGATGTTTAGAGGTGGGGAGCACCGTGCTTGGCTGAGTGCAGCTTGTGAGACGCTGCTCCCAAGCACTGCAGACCTCACTCAGCCTGACGCGTCCGTGAGGCCATCCTCGGTACTCGCATGTCCCTTTGTCTTCCCAGCGACTCTGGGAGGCAGGAGTATCTGTTCCCAGTTCACATCTGCAAAAGTCAAGCTCGGGTTTCAGTAGTGGCCCATGGCCCTTAGGTAGGGTGGCCCCATCGTGCAGGCTCCTCCCCGTACCCCAAGGCAGCCTGCTGGGGTGAGAAGCCAGGGGTCTGGGACCTTCCTTGGTGTGATGGTGTCTCCTGTCTCTGGTCTTTGCAGGACTGCCTGTGCAGAGGTCTCCCGGGCCTGTGACTTCCTGCTGTCCCGGCAGATGGCAGACGGAGGCTGGGGGGAGGACTTTGAGTCCTGCGAGGAGCGGCGTTATTTGCAGAGTGCCCAGTCCCAGATCCATAACACATGCTGGGCCATGATGGGGCTGATGGCCGTTCGGTGGGGACGACGGGACCGTCCCTGAGCCTTGGGTTTGGGTAGAGGAGGGACACTCAGCTGTGAGCCGGTGGCCTGGGCTGAGTGAATGTAGAGAGGAGGGGAGGCCTGTGGGCCAGGTCAGCTGCCACTCTGGGAACAGACACCTACAAGAGCCACATGCCTGGTTCCTGGGGCAAGAACGTGGGCTGCTCTGACCAAGTGGGGCCCTGCAGAGAGGCTCGCCTCTTAGAAGTGAACCACCCACCATTAGCCATGTCAGTGGAAGAGCAAGCACATCAGGGACCCATGGAAACAGCGAGGTGGGCTGCGATGAGGATGCTGCTTCCTGGTGTGGTAGTGATGACGGTCACAGCAGCTGCTCTCTGTGGCCCTACTGTGTTCACAGCTGGTGCTGAGCCACATATGTGCCAGGTGCACACACACGCAGACGCATGCAGGCAGGCATCAGTGTACACACTGATGTGCACACACAGATGTACATGGAGACAGATGCACACACAGGCCTATGCACACACGTACGCATGCCCACACAGGCACCTGTGTCCACACACATACAGATGCACCCACAGCATCCCATCTGTGCCACACACTGACATAGGTACATGGAGACAGATGCACACACAGGTCTGTGCACACACGTATGCATGCACAGGCACCTGTGTACACACACGTACAGATGCACCCACAGGATCCCATCTGTGCCACACACAGACGTAGGTACATGGAGACAGATGCACACACAGGTCTGTGCACACACATACATACGCATGCACAGGCACCTGTGTACACACATGCAGATACACCCACAGCATCCCATCTGTGCCACACACAGACATAGGTACATGGAGACAGATGCACACACAGGTCTATGCACACACATACGCATGCACAGGCACCTGTGTACACACACGTACAGATGCACCCACAGGATCCCATCTGTGCCACACACAGACGTAGGTACATGGAGACAGATGCACACACAGGTCTGTGCACACACATACATACGCATGCACAGGCACCTGTGTACACACACGCAGATACACCCACAGCATACCATCTGTGACACACACAGACGTAGGTACATGGAGACAGATGCACACACATGTCTGTGCACACACATACATACGCATGCACAGGCACGTGTGTACACACATGCAGATACACCCACAGCATGCCATCTGTGACACACACAGACGTAGGTACATGGAGACACATGCACACACAGGTCTGTGCACACACATACGCATGCACAGGCACCTATGTACACACATGCAGATACACCCACAGCATCCCATCTGTGCCACACACAGACATAGGTACATGAAGACAGATGCACACACAGGTCTATGCACACACGTATGCATGCACAGGCACCTGTGTACACACATGCAGATGCACCCACAGTATCCCATCTGTGCCACACACAGACATACGTACATGGAGACAGATGCACATACAGGTCTATGCACACATGTACACATGCACAGGCACCTGTGTACACACATGCAGATGCACCCGCAGTATCCCATCTGTGCCATACACAGACATACGTACATGGAGACAGATGCACATACAGGTCTATGCACACATGTACACATGCACAGGCACCTGTGCACACATATGCAGATGCACCCGCAGTATCCCATCTGTGCCACACACAGACATACGTACATGGAGACAGATGTACACACAGGTCTATGCACACATGTACACATGCACAGGCACCTGTGTACACACATGCAGATGCACCCGCAGTATCCCATCTGTGCCACACACAGACATACGTACATGGAGACAGATGCACACACAGGTCTATGCACACATGTACACATGCACAGGCACCTGTGCACACATATGCAGATGCACCCGCAGTATCGCATCTGTGCCACACAGACATACGTACATGGAGACAGATGTACATACAGGTCTATGCACACATGTACACATGCACAGGCACCTGTGCACACATACATACAGATGCACCCGCAACATCCCGTCTGTGCTGCCCTATTAGGTTTGTGGCCATTTGGGGAATCTTCCTAAAACCCTAAAAGCTAGGGCAGGTCTGCTTGAGCAGGAGCAGCAGGGTCTGGGGGACCCCTGAGGGCAGGACAGTCAGGGACCCACAGTTGAGCTGGGCCCGCTGAGCCCTGGATCCTTCTTGGTGTCTTATCCTGGCCAGCAAGCAAGTGTGAGCTCCTGTGGGTCTCCAGAGGCCCATGAGGACCAGTGGGCCAGTTGGGAACAAGGCTTGGCGTCCTCTTCAGGGGGGAACACCAGGGCAGGCCTGAGGAGGCCTGTGTCCCCAGCCTGTCATTGCTGTGGCTCCGCTTCTCAGGGAGCCTAGGAAGAAGGTGTGGCAAGAGCCCGAGGCGCTGGCTGCACCTGGCGGGGCCTGTGGGCGTCAGTTTAGACCCATCCATTCTCACTGCAGCATTCCAGGGTTTGCCCTTATGCTCGGCTGTGTGAGGGTGAGGATGATGCTGTGGGGGCATGCATGCTGGGTGTGTTTCAGCCTTCTCTTCCACCAGGCATCCTGACATCGAGGCCCAGGAGAGAGGAGTCCGGTGTCTACTTGAGAAACAGCTCCCCAATGGCGACTGGCCGCAGGTATGCCGCCAGGGACCTGAGCGCACAAGGCCCAGCACTGACCTCCAGCGTGCATGGCTGTTTCCACGTCCCCCTGCTCTGTGTCCTTTTTGGGGTACTTTGGACACTTGGGAGGCGTCACCTCTGCCAGTGAATGCCACAGTTGGTGGCAGGTCTGTGGCAGGTGGTCGGGTCCTAAAGTCCAGATCTTGCTGTTGTTTCAAGTGATGCTCTGGGTGGGGGAGGAGCTGGATGGGAGAAGCCAGTGGGCGGGAAGCCTTTTTGCTGCAGGACAGACCCTCCCACTCCAGATGACCTAGTGGCCCCTCACTGAGCCAGAAGTCCCTGTGGTGTGGGTGTCATGAGGTCATGTGAGGCCAACCGCCCTCCCCTGGGATGAGGCTGAGTTGGTGGAAGCTGATGTGGTTGTGAGGGGCTGGTGACCCTGGCTTAGGGTTTGCTGCAGGGCGGGGAGTCTGAGCTGGGCTGATGGTGCCATGACTGATGCGGGATGGACTACTTGCTTTCCTATGCTCTTGCTTAATTAGCCCTTTCCAGGCTGACTCACCCACAAGCCAGCCAAGCCAACAGCCAGGGCTCCAGTTCAGGGACTAGCCCTCAGCTGACTGGTGAAGCCTTTGTGTTTATTTCTCTGTGTTCTTTTAGGAAAACATTGCTGGGGTCTTCAACAAGTCCTGTGCCATCTCCTACACGAGCTACAGGAACATCTTCCCCATCTGGGCCCTCGGCCGCTTCTCCCAGCTGTACCCTGAGAGAGCCCTTGCTGGCCACCCCTGAGAACATGCCTACCTGCTGGGTGCCGTCTGTGCGTTCCAGTGAGGCCAAGGGGTCCTGGCCGGGTTGGGGAGCCCTCCCATAACCCTGTCTTGGGCTCCAACCCCTCAACCTCTATCTCATAGATGTGAATCTGGGGGCCAGGCTGGAGGCAGGGATGGGGACAGGGTGGGTGGCTTAGACTCTTGATTTTTACTGTAGGTTCATTTCTGAAAGTAGCTTGTCGGGCTTGGGTGAGGAAGGGGGCACAGGAGCCGTGACCCCTGAGGAGGCACAGCGCCTTCTGCCACCTCTGGGCACGGCCTCAAGGTAGTGAGGCTAGGAGGTTTTTTCTGACCAATAGCTGAGTTCTTGGGAGAGGAGCAGCTGTGCCTGTGTGATTCCTTAGTGTCGAGTGGGCTCTGGGCTGGGGTCGGCCCTGGGCAGGCTTCTCCTGCACCTTTTGTCTGCTGGGCTGAGGGACACGAGGGCAACCCTGTGACAATGGCAGGTAGTGTGCATCCGTGAATAGCCCAGTGCGGGGGTTGCTCATGGAGCATCCTGAGGCCGTGCAGCAGGGAGCCCCATGCCCCTGGGTCGTGAGCTTGCCTGCGTATGGGGTGGTGTCATGGAGCCTCATGCCCCTGGGTCGTGAGCTCGCCTGAGTATGGGGTGGTGTCATGGAGCCGCATACCCCTGGGTTGTGAGCTCGCCTGCATATGCAGGGTCTGTCATGGAACATCCCAAGTCTGTGCAGCAGGGAGCCCCATGCCCCTGGGACATGAACCCACCTGCGTGGAATGCTGTTTGTGAGGTGTCTACAGGGTTTATAGTAGTCTTGTGGACACAGAAATGCACAGGGGACACTTACGGACACAGAAATGCACAGGGGAGGCCGAGCATAACCAGGGGTGAGGGGCAGGCAGCAGTTGTAGTTACTGCCGCGGGGCACTGCTATGTGCAGGGACAGCCAGCACCCAGCCCATCACCACTCCCTGGGCTGGCTGGCAGGTATGGCACCCTGGGAGCCCGGCATATACCCAGGGCACCCCTACGGCTGCCGCCAGTCTCATGCCCAGGTGGGTGCTCTGGGCTGGAGCGAGGGCCAGGTTTTGGGCCGAGGCTTCCCCAGGCAATCCTGTGAGCTCCCTTCTAGCCTCTGACCCAGTCTGGTCTGGCTTGCATGGATGTAGGGCTTGGGGTGGGAAGTTCAGGTCCTGGCTTTGCCTTTGCCTGATGTGGATGAGCAGCTCACATGCTCAGGGCCACCTGAGACTGTCACTGCTCTCCCCTGGCTACTGGGAGGAGTCACTGAGAGCTTCGTTACCCCTGCTGCCTTGCCCAGGGCACACCCTATACCTCCTTATCTGCTCTTCCCCTCCCTGCCGCCTTCTGGGCAGGTAGCAGTCCCTGGCCTCTCCCCCTGGCTGATCACTCTCCCTCAGGCAGTGGAGATCTGCGTCTGGACACCCTCAGATCCTGTCATTGCCTGCCCAGAGTCCTTCAGGGGCACCCCTCTGCCTTGGTGTGCAGTCCAGGGCTCTCACCCAGGTGCCGCACCCTCTGGGGTCTTCTGTCCAGCTCCCTTGCCCCATGTGCTGTCACTGACTCTCCTTGGGACTCGCCTGCCTGCTCAGAGCCCTGCAGGGCTTGGTCAGCTGCCTGTTCAGTGTCAACACTTCCCTGCACATCTTAAAACTGGGCTTTATTTTCGCTGAAGGAACTGTGTTGGGACCCTTGACATCTGTCAGGTTTGCACATGCTGTTTTTTTTTCTCAGCCCACGTGTTCTCCCCCACGTGGGGTAGCAGCAGGACAGACAGTGAATCACAGAGTCTGCCCTGAGCAGAGGCTGCTGTCCCTGGGACTCCTAGCCATGGTCAGACTGTACAAAACGGTTTTCCAGAAATGAAATGTAAATCCATTTTTATACTGAAAATGTTACTGAAAGTCACTTTTATGAGCATCTGCCTTAATAAACAGACATTGATTCCCTTATCAGAAGCCTGTCACACTGTGTTTCGTTTCATCCTGGGGAGAACTGCAGATTTGGGGTTTCTGGCTGTCATACGTCACCTGCCTGTGGGGCGAGTGGGAGGCCCAGCCTGGTTTAGGGAACAAGAGTGACGTGAGGAGTAGCAGGGTGCGTCTCCAGTTACCTGAGGGAAAACAGATATTTTAAGAGATAATAGCATAGCCTATTTTAATATGTTTTAAAGGCCATAAGCATATCCAGGAAGATAAATAAACGTGATACAATGTCCACATAGGAGGAACTTTCTTTCACTGCATTGTTTTCCTTCACAGTGGCCTTCAAGTCACAGGACGCAGCGATTCCCTGCCCTCTTCGGTGTTATTACACAGGCAGGACTTCAGTGTCAGTATCCCTGCCTTCAGTCTTCTTTAGAAATCACATCTGTGTTCAATCCATTGTTTAGAGGGAGTGTATTTTTCCTGTTCCACGAAGAGGACTTTTTGTTCACAATTGGATCACAATGCAGAGGAGTCTGTTCCTCCCCCGTCGGCTTCTCGGTGCTGGGAGGGTGACCTGTCCCAGATGACTCATCACCCTGACATGCTCTTGACAAAGGACACCACCAAGAGGAGATGGCAGCTGTACCGGTGCAGCCTCTGTCTGAGGGGGATATTTGCCTCAGTGTGATTAAAAATCAGTCATGAAAGATTTTTGAATTCAGATTATTTTTATCAGGAACAGATTTTGAACATCCTGAAATCTTTTCCCTGGCATCATATTAGGTTTTCTTTGTTCACTATGATGTAAAGTTTCAGACTCTTGATATTTTTAATATCAACATAGACGGTAGGACAAGGAACGGTACCAGAAATGAGTAAAGAGACAATAATGATAAGATCGATTTATCAAGACATAACAACCCCAAATGTATATGCACTAAATAACAGCTTCAAAATACATGAAGCAAAATGGCAGAATTGAAGAGAATGAGATAAAAACAGAATTTTAACGGGTGCTTTCCGTACTTTGTAACTGACAGACATGAGATCTGTAAGGACAGAGATTTGAACATCAGCCAACACAAGCGAGCGGTCTTTAGAGGATGCTTCACCTAACACTGCTGAAGCACACGGCTTTGCAAGAGCTCGTGGCCCATGTGCTAAGGTAGACCACAGCTGGCTCACCAGGTGAGTCTCAGTATGTTAGCAAGGACGGAAGTCACACACAGCATCCTCCCCCACCACAGTGGAGTTAAACTGAATTGAAAATCAGTGGCAAAGGAGCAAAGGCAGTTCAATGGAGAAAGGACAGCCTTCAACAAATGCTGAAACAAACTCCATTTGTAAAAAAAAAATGAACCTTGACATACCCTTCACATCTAGACATACTCAAGATCAATCAGAGACCTAAATGTAAAACAAAACTATAAAACCCCTAGAACATCACATAGGAGGAAATCTAGGTGACCTTGGGTTTGGCAGTAACTCTTTAGATATGACACCAAAGGCATGATCCTCGAAAGAAAACATTAATAGGTTGGGCTTCATTAAAATAATACATTTCTGGCTCATGCCTGTAGTCCCAGCACTTTGAGGGGCCAAGGTGGGAGGGTCACTTGGGCTCAGGAGTTGGAGACCAGCCTGGATAACAGTGAAACCCCATCTGTACAAAACAGTCAGAAGATTAGGCAGGTGTGGTGGTGCGTGCCCGTTGTCCCAGCTACTCGGAACACTGAGGTGGGAGGATTGCTTGAGCCTGGGAGGCCGAGGCTACAGTGAACTGTGGTTGCGCGGCTGTGCTCTTAACTTGCGTGACAAAGTGAGACCCTGTCTCAATAAAATAATTAATGAAACTGAAACTTTCTGCTCTGCAAAGAATGTCAAGAAAATGAAAAGACAAGTCAGAGACTGGGAGAATATATTTGAAAAAGACAAAGGATCAGTATCCAAAAGAGCTCTTCAAACCCAACAATAAAACAACCTGGTTAAAAAATGGGCTGAAGGGGCCGGGTGCGGTGGCTCACGCCTGTAATCCCAGCACTTTGGGAGGCCGAGGTGGGCGGATCACAAGGTCAGGAGATAAAGACCATCCTGGCTAACACGGTGAAACCCCGTCTCTACTAAAAATAAAAAAAATTAGCCGGGCACGGTGGCAGGCGCCTGTAGTCCCAGCTACTCGGGAGGCTGAGGCAGGAGAATGGCGTGAACCCGGGAGGCAGAGCTTGCAGTGAGCCGAGATTGTGCCACTGCACTCCAGCCTGGGTGACAGAGAGAGACTTCGTCTCAAAAAAGACAAAAAAGAAATCAAACAAACAAAAGTGGCTGTGCCAATTTGCATTCCCACCAACAATGAGTTCCTGTTACTCCACGTCCTCAGCAGCATTTGGTGGTGGCAGTGTTCTGGATTTTGGCCACTCTAAAAGGTATATTGGTAGTTTTAATCTGCATTCCCCTGATGACATATGATGTGGAACATCTTTTCATATGCTTATTTAACAACTGTGTATCTTCTTTGGTGCGGTGTCTGTTAAGGTCTTCAGCCTTTTCTTTTTTTTTTGATACGGAGTCTCGCTCTTTCGCCCAGGCCGGAGTGCAGTGGCGCGATCTTGGCTCACTGCAAGCTCTGCCTCCCGGGTTCACGCCATTCTCCTGCCTCAGCCTCCTGAGTAGCTGGGACTATAGGCGTAGCGAAACTGCTCTGGCCTGACACTGTGATGGTGGATACAGGTCATTATACATTTGTCCAAAGCCAGAGAATGTGCAGCATCAAGAGTGAGCCCCATTGTAAACTGTGGGCTTTGGGTGGTGACGATGTGTCCATGTAGATTCATCAGCTGTAACAAATGGACCACTCTGGGACTGAGTGTGGGTGTGCGCGCCTGTAATCCCAGCTGCTTGGGAGGCTGAGGCAGGAGGATCTCTTGAGCCCAGGCATTTGAGGCTGCAGTGAGCCGTGATCATGCCACTTGCCCTTCAGCCTGGGCAATAGAGCAAGACCTTGTCTCAAAAAAGTACCACTTTGCTGCAGGACGTTTCAAAAATATTCTCCCAGTCTCTGACTTGTCTTTTCATTTTCTTGACATTCTTTGCAGAGCAGAAAGTTTCAGTTTCATTAATTAAAGTATTTTATTGAGACAGGGTCTCACTTTGTCACGCAAGTTAGAGCACAGCCGCGCAACCACAGTTCACTGTAGCCTCGACCTCCCAGGCTCAAGCAATCCTCCCACCTCAGTGTTCCGAGTAGCTGGGACAACAGACACGCACCACCACATCTGCCTAATCTTCTGACTGTTTTCTACAGATGGGGTGTCCTTCTCTTTTGATAACTTTGGTAGGGTTTGTCCATTTCCTGTGGTTGTGGAGCACGGGCATCAAGCTTTAACTACACCCCACAAATTCTAATGTCATGTTTTTATTCTCATTCAACTTGAAATATTCTCTGGTTTCCTTCGTGCTTTTGTCTTTTTCAAGACTTTTTTAAGAGGAGTTTTAGGTTCTTAGCAAAATTGAGAGGAAGATAGAGAGATTTCCCCACTCGCTGCCCCAACAAATGCACAGCCTCCCCTATTATCAACAAACTACCTGACAGCCACAATTGTCAGCAAAACGCACATGAGGGAAAAATATAAAATATAAGTAGCGTTGTATCTATTTAAGAAATTGATTTAGAAATTTAAAACTTTTCCAGAAGAAATCTAGTTCTAGATAGCTTCACAGATGAATTCTATCCGACGTTTAAGAAGGAACACCCAGAAAATGGCGCAGAATCTCTGCGGCTCATTTTAAAAGGCCAGTGTTCCAAAGCCAGACCGAGACATCACAAGAAAAGGAGATTCAGATCGACTTCCCCTGTGAGCATAAAAATACTTAAAATATTAATAAATTGAATCCAGCGCTATATTAAAAGGATAATGTGTCAAGACCAGAAAACTGTCAGAATGTTGATAGGTCCGTGGCTGGAGAGTACCTGACGTCAAGAGAAGGTTTCCTTGGAGCGGGAGGAAGACGGCATTTAAAATATGATGGGAGGAGCCAGGGCAGGAAAAGCCATTCAGGGCCCCGTCGGGCTCAGAGCGGGGGGCGCATCCGTGACTCATCCCTCGCTTCTCTCTCTGCCCTGCATCCTGGACGCCCTGCATGCCCTCGTCAGTGGGCTGTGGCTGGGCCCCCGTTGTCTTGATCTGAGGTGTGAGCCCTGTGGTGCAACACCAGGCTGGTTGGGTTGTGTCAGGAACGCTTGGGGTGTAGAAACCTCCTTTCTCCACAAAGCCTGACTCAAGACTTTCTCTCCTAGAAGCAACCTTCCCCTAATCTGGCCGCCCGGGCTGAATGAAGGTGGTGTTCTCCCAGGGGCATCTGCACCTGAGTGCCCTTGGTGGTCCTGAGTGCCCGTCACAGGGCTGGAGGTGTGGCCGGCCCACTGGGATGGTGGTGGTGGTGGGTGCCCATCACAGGGCTGGAGGTGTGGCCGGCCCACTGGGTTGGTGGTGGTGGGTGCCCGTCACAGGGCTGGAGGTGTGGCCGGCCCACTGGGTTGGTGGTGGTGGGTGCCCGTCACAGGGCTGGAGGTGTGGCCGGCCCACTGGGTTGGTGGTGGTGGGTGCCCGTCACAGGGCTGGAGGTGTGGCCGGCCCACTGGGTTGGTGGTGGTGGGTGCCCGTCACAGGGCTGGAGGTGTGGCCGGCCCACTGGGTTGTGCTTTCTGCCGTACGTCCCTTCCCATGAGGATGAGATGACCCATCTGTTGCATCCCGGCTGCTGATAAAACAAGACCCTCGGAGCCAAGAAACAACACTGAGGTGATTTACTTTCCCAAGTAATTGAAGCAGGGAGTCAGGGTGGGTTTCAAGTCGGTCGCACTGACTGAGGACAGACGCCTGCTCTAGCAGGGCCCCATGAGCCGCAGCCCTGTGTGACGGCCCGAGGGGCCGTGGCCATGGGTTGGGGGCGTCCTCAGTTACGTGCAGGCAGGAGCAGTGCAGTCAGGAACAATTGGTGTCTTAGACACGGGCGCTCGTGGTCTGAGGGGTGGACATGCACTGCTGGACCCTTCTCATCAGGGAGTGAGGTCAGTAGGTGGCCTCCAGCCCAGCCCTCAGGGCCACCCAGTGCTCCAAAGCATGTGGGGGCCATCGTGGGGCTGCCTCAGGCTGGTCTCCCCACCCTAGGCTGGTCTCCCCCGCAAGACTGGTCTCCTCCCCCAGGCTGGTCTCCCCCACAAGGCTGGTCTCCTCCCCCAGGCTGGTCTCCTCACCAGGCTGGTCTCCTCCCCCAGGCTGATCTCCCCGCCCAGGCTGGTCTCCCCCGCAGGCTGGTCTCCCCCGCAAGCTGGTCTCCTCCCCCAGGCTGGTCTCCTCACCAGGCTGGTCTCCTCCCCCAGGCTGATCTCCCCGCCCAGGCTGGTCTCCCCCGCAGGCTGGTCTCCCCCGCAAGCTGGTCTCCTCCCCCAGGCTGGTCTCCTCACCAGGCTGGTCTCCTCCCCCAGGCTGATCTCCCCGCCCAGGCTGGTCTCCCCCGCAGGCTGGTCTCCCCCACAAGGCTGGTCTCCTCCCCCAGGCTGGTCTCCTCACCAGGCTGGTCTCCTCCCCCAGGCTGATCTCCCCGCCCAGGCTGGTCTCCCCCGCAGGCTGGTCTCCCCCGCAAGCTGGTCTCCCCTGCAGGCTGGTCTCCTCCCCAGGCTGGTCTCCCCCGCAGACTGGTCTCCCCCACAAGCTGGTCTCCCCACCAGGCTGGTCTCCCCCACATGCTGGTCTCCTCCCACTGCCCTTGCCAGTCCCTCCCTCCTCAAGTGTGGGTGCCAAGGACGGACCCTGATGAACACCTGCACATCAGTTGCTGCCCTGGGTGCCAGGGTCCACAGGAAGCTGCACTGGGAACCCTGTGTCCTGGGCAGGTCCTATGGGAAGTGCAGCCCACATGTTACTCGGGTGAAGGCAGCGTCCCCACCCAGCTTGAGGACACCACACAGGGTGGACACCCGACCCTGGCTGGGCCGCTCAATGGGGAGTGGCTTGGACGCCCCTCTTGGAGTACAGTCGCTACATCCCGTAGCTGCCTAATGTCCTTGGCATTCTCGGGCCCTGGTCATAATGTGGGAGTGGCTGCCTGTGCACGCCACGGGCCTCCAGCTTCACTGCCTCAACGGGGCCATGAGCCATCGCGGGGGCAGGCAGGGTGCTGGGCACCTCATCACTAGGGCAGTGACATCACAAGGCGTGGAAGGCGGTGGTGGCTACGGAACTCCGTGCCTGGGCTGTTTCTGTGGTGCCTGCGGGCTCTGGGCTCCCACCTCCATGGGGCTGCAGGAGCCGTGAGGGACAAGGAGGGACGCACCCGCCATGGCTGAAGGCGGCGAGCTGATGAGCCGGCTCCTGAGCGAGAACGCGGACCTGAAGAAGCAGGTGCGCCTCCTGAAGGAGAATCAGATGCTGCGGCGGCTGCTCAGCCAGAGCTGCCAGGAGGGCGGCGGCCACGACCTGCTCCCACCCAGGGCGCATGCCTACCCTGAGGCCGGCTCCCCCGGGAGCGGAGGTGAGGCGCCGCCCAGCTCAGATGGCCTGGTAGATGAGGGGGTCGCGGGACGCCTGCTCCCCGGGAGTCGAGGGTGGCGGCCAGCTCCCTGATGCGGGAGGTCACGGGCACCTTTCACACCCTCAGGTCTGAGTAAAGCAAGACCAGGTGGTGGGTTCTGCTGTTGCCCTCAGGTGAGGCCCCTCCCCTCCCCTTCGGTCGCTGGCGAAGTGGGAGTGGTCAACCGCTGGCAGGTGGACTGGTCAGCTGCAGTCATGGAAGTGTCCCCATAGGGGTAGAGCAGGTGGCGCGCAGGCTTGTGGGCCTCCAGGGCCCCAGGCAGCTCTTCCAGGCTGGTCCTGGCTGGCAGTTTGCTCTGCTGCATGTGTCTCTTCTCCTGGGTCAGGGGCGAGGGGGGTGTCAGACCAGCCACACGAGTCCCATGAGTGCTGTGTCCCATCCACTCATGTCCCCGGCCAGAGCCAGGCCAGCCCCATGGTGGGAAGGTCCCACCCTGGGGAGGCCTCAGAGCCACCGGCCAGGGGAGCAGGTAGGGACAAGTGGGCGCCTGTCCCTGCGGGGCTGGGAGTGTGGAGCCATGATCCACTCACCACATAGCATTGACTCCGACCTTCTGTGGCTTTTTACTGAAAAAAGTATATATATAGGGTTTGGTCACTTTCTGCAAAGTAGTAGGCTTTATTCTAAAAGGTTTGGGAAAAACATTACCCGTTCCTGCATGTGATTTGGGGTGGGGCTGACAGATGTACCCTTGACTTTTTGTTGGGATGGTGGGCAGAGGACAGAGTCCCTGACCCAGCACTGCCTGGGATTCCCACGGCCAACCTCAGCTTCCCACCGGGCCGGGCCCGGAAAGGACGTGGTCAGCCTGCCTGGTCCTGGACGATGGAGCAGGCAGCCTCGCCAGTGCCCGTGAACACTGCTGTCTGCGAGCACGAGCCATGCCCGGGAGGCCAGCTCTGCCACTCACCAAGGGGCCGCTCCAGCACCTGTGCTGGGGGTGGGGGAGGTTGCTTCCTGAGTCCTTCTCAAACGCTGGCCACCACCCTCAGATGTGCACTCTGAGCAGGCGCAGTGTGCAGGAGGCACTCTCCGCAGCCAGGCCCCAGGCCCTGCTCGGAGCTCCATGGACAAGCCTGAGAGCGAGCGTGTCTGGAAGCAAAGAGGGGAATCCATGGCATCGTCCCCACACCTTTGGTCTCTGGTGACAGGCAGGGGCTCCTCGCAGGGAGCTGGGAGGAGAGCACCTCGCCAGGATGTGCGGGGACAGTGTGGCTGGGGAACCTGGCGCCTGGGGGCCATGCTGTGCGAGGCCCCAGGTTCTGCGTCTCCATCAGCGGCCACTGAGCCCCACGCTCACCACAGGGCGTTTGCTGGGCAGACCTGCGCTTACGGTGCTGGGCCACGTGCAGGGTCCCGTTCACAGCACTTGTGAGGCCCGGGCACTGTGGCTGCAAAAGGGCCCTTAATCTGTTTGGCGTGTGTGGACCGCCGCAGGCTGCGTGCCCCGGGCTGCGTTGCTGTCCTCCTCCTCAAGAAGGAATCACCCTGGGCCGGACCTCAGGGCTGGACAGAGTGCTGGTGCCTCCCCTGGCAGGAGAGGGGCAGACCCTCAACCCTTGCCCAGGCTGTGCAGTCCCCAGAGGGACCCTTGTCAGGGGCTGAGTCCGGGCGGGGTCTCCATGACCACGGCTGCTGCCCCTGCCCTTGGGTCATCTTGGCAAACCCAGGTCTTGCTGGACACGGGTCTTGGGAGGAGCCTCAACCTGAGGCCAGCAGGCCTTCCACAGAGGGCCTTGGAGCCCCCGCCACAGGGTGTGGGGCAGGCTCAGTGTGGCCCGGGCTGGCAGCGGGGAGGGGCCTGGACAAGACCACCCTCTAAACTCTGCCACTTGAGTGGCAGCGTGTGGTGCACCCTTAATGCTCTGGGCCTCAGCATGTGCTTGGGAATGTACCTGGGGCTGTGGGACGCTGCATTCAGGACCAGCCCTCAGCAGAACTGGGGTTGGGAAGACCAGCACTGAGCTTCTGCAAAAAAGGAGAAGTTTATAAACAAAGGAACCACCACCAGCAATGTCTGCATGTTGCCAAGACTTCATTAGCATCTGTGTTCAAAACAGGATGAGTAAAAACCTGCTTTTCTTACGGATTCAACAACACGTGCTCATGGTAAACTTATAAACGCCATGGAGGGTGCAACGTTTAAGCCTCAGGCCACGCCTCCGGCCCCCTCCGCAAAGGCAGCCACAATCAACGTTCTCTTGGGTTTTCTCTGGAACTTTAGTGGAGATCTGTGTGTCTGTCTGTGTATCTTTTTGGTCCACCTACACGGGATTGTGCTGTTCCGCAACTTGACTTTTCCCCCTTAACGATCCATTTCGCGGCATTCCCCACCAGTCCTTATCTGCAGATCTCCCCGGCACACTTGAACACTGGGCTCCTTCTGTGGGGGCCCCAGGCAGGCAGCACTGTTCCCAGTTCTCTGCGACCGTGGACGCCGCCGCCGTGGGTGGCCTGCGCAGGCGCCCTGTGGCTTTGTGTAGGGGATCCCACACCTGGGTCCTCGGGTCAAAGGCTGTGTGCATTTGAAATGTTGAAACAGACACTGTCAAACGCTCTCTGAACGGTCCCTACACCCCACTGATGGAGGAGGAGGGCACTGCGCCGGCATCGTTCCCACGTCACAGGAGGGCTCATCTGTCCCCGTCAGCTGGGGAGCGAGGTCTCCAGGTCTTCTCACCCAGGTTTACAAGTGAGTGACGCGAAGGGCCAGTGGGAGCAGCAGTCCTCTGCCTCCCCTCCCAGCTGCCCCATCTCGTCTCCCTCGGGATTGTCCTGGTCCCTCCAGCACGGCCACGATGCCACTCGCCGTGTCTCCACTGGAGAGGTGTCCCCTGGAGGACAGCCAGGCCCCCCCAGATTGCCCACTCGCTCCCTAGTTGTTGGTGGTGGATTGTCAGATGATTTCCAACAGTGGTGAGAATTCTCTATGTGCAACTCCTGGTCACTCCTTCCGTCTGACATGACAGAAGATTGTCCCTGTGTTGTTAGGTGTACTTTAAAATGGCCCTGCAATATTGCCGATTCGGATGAACCACAATGTAATGAATTCTCCCTCAGTTTGAAATTAAAGTTTTTCTTCCCCTTGAGGTAAATAGCACCACAAAAAAGGTTTTAAGAATTTTTATATTTAAGGTTATTTCCATTGGATTTCTTTTTTTGGTGTGTGTGTGATTTTTTTTACTTTTATGGAGATGGGATCTTCTATGTTGCTGGTCTTGAACTCCTGGGCTTAAGGGATCCTTCTGTCTCGACCTCCTAAAATGCTGGGATTACAGGTGTGAGCCACCGTGCCTGGCCCATTATGTTTTTTTCTTTTTCAGACAGGGTCTATGTTCCCCAGGCTGGAGTGCAGTGGCAATGATCATGACTCACTGCAGCCTCGACCTCTGGGGCTCAAGCAATCCTCCTACCTCAGCCTCCTGAGTAGCTTGGACTACAGTGCTTGCCACCATGAGCGGCTAGTTAAAAATTTTTTTTTTTTTTTTGTAGAGACAGGGTCTCCCTATGTTGCCCAGGCCAGTCCCAAACTCCTGGGCTCAAGCGATTCTCCCACCTTGGCCTCCCAAACCATTGGGATTACAGGCTTGAGCCACTGTCCAGCTGGATTTATTTTTAAAAAATAGAATCATTGATTCAGAAGGCAGGAGTAAATGGTTTTTTGTTTGTTTGTTTTTGAGACACAGTCTGGCTCTGTTGCCCAGGCTGGAGTGCAGTGGTGTCATCTTGGTTCACTGCAACCTCTGCCTCCTGGGTTCAAGCGATTCTCCTGCCTTGCCCTCCCCAGTAGCTGGAATTAAAGGCACACACCACCATGCCTGGCTACTTTTTGTATTTTTAGTAGAGATGGGGTTTTGCCATGTTGGCTAGGCTGATCTTGGACTCCTGATCTCAGGTGATCCACCCACCTCGGCCTCCCAAAGTGCTGGGATTACAGGCATGAACCACTGCACCTGGCCATGTATTTCTTTTTTAAAAAACTTTTAAGTTCAGGGGTACAAGTGCAGGCTTATTACATAGGTGAACTTGTGTCATGGGAGTTTGTTGTACAGATTATTTTGTCACTCAAGTATTAAGCCTAGTACATTCGTTATTATTCCTGATCCTCTCCCTTCTCTCACCCTTCACCATCTGGTAGGTCTCAGTGTCTGTTGTTCCCCTCTATGTGTCCACGTGTTCTCGTTGTTTAGCTCCCACTTATAAGTAAGAGCATGTGGCATTTGGTTTTCTGTTTCTGCATTAGTTTGCTGAGGACAATAGCCTCCAGCTCCATCCATGTTCATGCAAAGGATATGATCTCATTCTGGTTTTTTTTTTTTTTTTTTTTTTTTGAGATGGAGTTTCACTCTTGTTGCCCAGGCTGGAGTGCAATGGCACGATCTCGGCTCGCTGCAACCTCCGCTTCCCGATTTCAAGCAATTCTCCTGCCTCAGCCTCCCAAGTAGCTGGGATTACAGGCATGCACCACCATGCCCAGCTAATTTTGTATTTTTAGTAGAGATGGTTTTCACCATGTTGGTCAGGCTGGTCTCGAACTCCTGACCTCAGGTAATCCACCTGCCTTGGCCTCCCAAAGTACTGGGATTACAGGCATGAGCCACTGCTCCCGGCTGATCTCTTTCTTTTTTATGGCTGCATAATATTCCATGGTGTCTATGTACAACATTTTCTTTATCCAATCTACCACTGATGGGCATTTAAGTTGATTCCGTGTCTTTGCTATTGTGAATAGTCTGCAGTGAACATATGCGTGCATGTGTCTCTATAATAAAATGATTTATATTCCTTTGGGTACCATTAATGGAACCCAACCAGTAATGGAATTGCTGGGTTGAATGGTATTTCTGTTTTTAGGTCTTCGAGGAATCGCCACACTGTCTTCCACAATGGCTGAACTAATTTATGCTCCCACTAACAGTGTATAGGCGTTCTTTTTCTCTGCAACGTTGCCAGCATCTGTTGTTTTTTGACTTGTTAATTATAGCCATTCTGACTGGTGTGAGATGGTGTCTCATTGTGGTTTTTATTTACATTTCTTTAATAAGCAGTGATGTTGAGCCTTTTTTCATATGCTCGTTGGCTGTATGTATGTCTTTAGAAAAGTGTTCATGTCCTTTGCCCACTTTTTAATGGGGTTGTTTGTTTTTTTCTTGTAGATTTCTTTAAGTTCCTTATAGATGCTGAATATTAGACCTTTGTCAGATGCATTAGTTTGTAAAAATTTTCTCCCATTCTGTAGGTTTGCTGTTTACTCTGTTGATAGTTTATTTTGCTGTGCAGAAGCTCTTTGATTAGATGCCATTAGTCAATTTTTGCTTTTGTTGCAATTGCTTTTAGCATCTTTGTTGTGAAATCTTTGCCCATCCCTATGTTCTGAATGGTATTGCCTAGGTTGTCTTCCAGGGTTTTTATAGTTTTGAGTTTTACATCTAAGTCTATAATCCATATTGAGTTGATTTTTGTATATGGTGTAAGGAAAGGGTCCAATTTCAGTCTTCTGCATATGGCTAGCCAGTTATCCCAGCACCATTTATTTAATAGGGAGTCCTTTCCTCATTGCTTGTTTTTGTCAGATTTGTTGAAGATCAGGTGGTTATAGGTGTGCAAACTTATTTCTGGGTTCTCTGTTCCGTTCTATTGATCTATGTACCGTGCTGTTTTGGTTATTGTAGCTCTGTAGTATAGTTTGAAGTTGGGTAGTGTGATGCCTCCAGCTTTGTTATTTTTGCTTAGGATTGCCTTGGCTATTCGGGCTCTTTTTTGGTTCCATATGAATTTTTAAACAGTTTTTTTCTAGTTCTGTGATTAATCTCAATGGTATTTTAATAAGAACAGCATTGACTCTATAAAATTACTTTGGTCAGTATGACCATTTTTATGATATTGATTCTTCCTATGCATGAACATGGAATGTTTTCCCATTTGTGTAATCTCTGATTTCTTTGAGCAGTGTTTTGTAGTTCTCCTTGTAGACATCCTCCACCTCCCTAGTTAGCTGTATTCCTAGGCATTTTATTCTTTTTGTGGCAGTTGTAAATGGGAGTTCATTCCATTTGATTTGGCTCTTGTCTTGATTGTTGTTGGTATATAGGAATGTTAGTGTTTTTTGCACATTCATTTTGTATCCTGAGACTTTGCTGAAGTTGTTTATCAGCTTAAGAATCTAGGTTGAGACTATGGGATTTTCTAGATATAAGATCATGTCATCTGCAAACAGGGATAGTTTGATTTCCTCTCTTTCTATTTGGATGGGCTTTATTTCTTTCTTTGGCCTGATTGCTCTGATCAAGACTTCCAATACTATGTTGAATAGGAGTGGTGAGAGAGGGCATTCTTGTCTTGTGCCAAGTTTTGAGGGGTTGAGTTTTGATGTTGGTTGTGAGTTTGTCATACATAGCTCTTACTATTTTGAGGTATGTTCCTTCAATACCTAGTTTATTGAGCGTTTTTAACATGAAGGGGTGTTGAATTTTGTTGAAAGCTTTTTTTGCATCTATTAAGATAATCATATGGTTTTTGTCTTTAGTTCTGTTTATGTAATGAATCGCATTTATTGATTTATGTTGAACCTACCTTGCATCCCAGGGATAAAACCTATTTGATTGTGGTGGATAAGCTTTTTGATGTGCTGCTGGATTTGGTTTGCCAGAATTTTGTTGAGGATTTTTGCGTCAATGTTCATCAAATATATTGGCCTGAAGTTATCTTTTTTTGTTGCATCTCTGCCGGGTTTTGTTATCAGGATGATGCTGGCCTCATAGAATGAGTTAGGGAGGAGACTCTCCTCCTCAACTTTTTGGAATAGTTTCACCAGGAATGGTACCAGCTCTTCTTTGTACATCTGGTACAATTCAGCTGTGAATCCATCTGGTCCTGGCTTTTTTTGGTTGGTAGGCTATTTATTACTGACTCAATTTTAGAGCTTGTTATTGGTGTGTTCAGGGATTCCATTTATTCCTAGTTCAGTCTTGGGAGGGTGTATGTGTCCAGGAACTTATCCATTTTTTCTAGATTTTCTAGTTTATGTGTATAGAGGTTTTCATAATATTTTCTGATGGTTGGTTGTATTTTTGCGGGGTCAGTAGTAATATATCCCTTATTTCTGATTGTGTTTATTTGAATCTTTTCTCTTTTCTTCTTTATTAGTCTAGCTAGTGGTATATCTATTTTATTAATTTTTTCAAAAAACCAGCTCCTGGATTCATTGATGTTTTGAATAGTATTTTGTGTCTCAATCTCCTTCAGTTCAGCTTTGATTTTGGTTATTTCTTGTTTTCTGCTAGCTTTGGGATTTGTTTGCTCTTAATTCTCTAGTTCTTTTAGCTGTGATGTTAGGTTGTTTGACTGAGATCTTTCCAACTTTTTGATGTGAACATTTAATGCTATAAATTTCCCTCTTAACACTGCCCTAGCTGTGTCCCAGAGATTCTGGTATGTTGTATTTTTGTTCTCATCAGCTTCAAGGAATTTCTTGATTTCTGCCTTAATTTCACTGTTTACCCAAAAGTCATTCAGGGGCGGGTTATTCAATTTCCATGTAATTGTGTGGTTCTGAGTGAATTTTTTAGGCTTGATTTCTAACTGGGTCCGTTGTCGTCTGAGAGATTGTTTGTTATAATTCCAGTTGTTTTGCATTTGCTGAGGAGTATTTTACTTCCAATTATGTGATTGAATTTAGAGTGTGTGCCATGTGGCAATGAGAAGAATGTATATTCTATTGTTTTGGGGTGGAGAGTTCTGTAGATATCTGTCAGGTACATTTGATCCGGTGCTGAGTTCATGTCCTGAATATCTTTTTTAATTTTCTGTCTCAATTATCTGTAATACTGTCAGTATGGTGTTGAAGTCTCTCACTATTATTATGTGGGAGTCTAAGCCTCTTTGAAGGTCTCTGAGAACTTGCTTTATAAATCTTGGTGCTCTTGTGTTGGGTGCATATATATTTAGTGTAGTTAGGTCTGCTTGTTAAATTGAGCCCTTCACCATTGTGTAATGCTCTTCTTTGTCTTTTTTGATCTTCATTGGTTTAAAATCTGTTTTGTCAGAAACTATGATTGCAACCCTGCAATCATAGTTTTCCATTTGCTTGGTAGATTTTTCTCCATGCCTTTATTTTGAGCCTATTTGTGTTATTGCATGTGAGATGGGTCTCTTGAAGACAGCATACCAATGGGTCTTGGTTCTTTATCTAGCTTGCCATTCTGTTTTTTTTTTTTTTTGTTTTTTTTTTTGAGACAGAGTCTTGCTCTGTCTCCCAGGCAGGCTGGAGTGCAGTAGCACAATCTCGGCTCACTGCAACCTCTGCCTCCTAGGTTCAAGTGATTCTCCTGCCTCAGCCTCCCAAGTAGCTGGAATTATAGGCACCCAACACCATGCCTGGCTAATTTTTCTATTTTTTAGTAGAGATGGGTTTTCATCATGTTGGCCAGGCTGGTCTTGAACTCCTGGCCTCAAGTGATTCACCTGCTTCAGCCTCTCAAAGTGCTGGGATTACAGACATGAGCCACCATGCCTGGTCTGTTTGATGACCTTGAGGTTTTGATTGTGGTATAAGGTGGATTCAGCCAACTGGCTTCATTTATGGAATATTTAAGGGGCCAGTGCCCAGCTGCCAACTCCTGGACTCTGCATGCTCTAGCTCTGGGGGACTTGTTTTGGGCCCTGACTTTGTTCTCTGGCTCCTTGAGGTTTGGAATCCACTGCACTGGGGGGCTGAGGTACTGCAGCTACAGCAGAGTGGCTGGCAGATGCAGAGTGCCTGCCTTCCTGTGGGGGTTCACCACAGTGGTGGAGGCAAAGCAGCTGGGGTGGGGATGGGGGGCTCCTGTTGGAGACTGTGTGCAGTTACTCTGGAGGTACTATAGGCATGGGTGGGGTGCTGGTTGGCACAGGTCTAGGTGCCTTTTCTGTGCCCTGCAAGCAGGAGTGATCGCTCAGGGTGGGGGAGGATCCACTGTTCTCTGCTCAGTGTTAGGTCAAAGGCAGGGTTCTGGTGGGTATGGGGCTTGCTGGCTCTGTGTCTGCCAAGGCTTCATCTGCAATGGAAGTCTGTAGGGAAAGGGGAGGCCCACTGGACTCCTGCATGCTGGTGGGGGAAGGAAATCAAAACCCACCTGTGCAGACATCAGCAGAGTGATGTGGGGAGTTGCCTGGGCCCAGGGGAAGCTACAATATGAGGAGGGAGCAGGCAGGCTGGTGTGTGGCCGTCGGGGCTGTCTCACTGGAGCTCTCCACTGGCCAGGCACAGTCTGCCGGCACAGAAGCTATGGTGAAGACCCCCAGGGCACCCAAGACTGCCCTGCAAGCAGGCATGGCCAGGCTGGGGCCCCAGGAGAGGCCAGCAGACGAAGGGGTGCTCAGGTTGGACCAGTCCCATCTGATGGGTAAGACCACCCTGCAGAGAACAGGTCTGACAGTTCCCCTAGGTCCAAAGTCTCCTGTGGGAGCAAATCAAGCCTGGGGGACGGCCGTCCCTGGCTGTGTTCCTGCACCAGACCCTCTGGGTTCCGCTTCAGCTGGCTGCTGCCGCCACCACTTCTCTAAGCAGCTCTCCCTGCCAACTAGAGTGTCCATGGTGGGCGAGGGGTCTCCCCCAGCTGGGGTTCCAGAGGCCCATGGCAACAGTGGGTTGCTCCTTGCCCGTTTAACTACCCCATTTCCCCAGAGCTGTTGTGGGTCCAAAAATGAGCACCAGTGCTCAGTAGTCCCAGGCAGGTTCCCAGCTTTCTCACCTTCAGCCCAGCTTCTGTGTGCTCCCTCCATCTGCCCTCAGCACCTTCCCTCTGAAGATGTGTTAGAAGCTCACCAGTCATCTCAGGCCCTCCGTGGGAGCTGTATCATCTGGCTGCATCTGGCCGGCCATCCCGCCCTTCCAATCCACATGAACTTCTTATTTCTGTCTTTGTCCTTATTACTCAGAACTCGGGCCTTGGCCTTGACTTTCATGGGGCCTCGTCCAGGGAAGGTGAGAGAGGGTTTTGGCCGCATCCTGGTCCTCCTGACCAGCTGTGGGAAGGACCAACGGTCCCATCTGCCCAGAGGAGGGAGGTTTGCACAGGCTGGATGCTGTGGAAGAGTCCTTCCTGTTCTTATTTTTGGAAAACAGAAAATTTGAGAAATGGCTCATCTTGTTCGGTGTTTGTGAGCCTATCTCTGTACCAGTGGAGGTAACTCAGCTTCTTGCCAGGGACCGTATCTGGTATCTTGCTACGCTGCACAGCCACTGGGTTCTGCACACCCTGCCTCTTGCTCTCCACCCCACCGCCTCGTGCTCTGCACACACCCCTGCCTCATGCTCTCCACCCCCATCTTGTGCTCTGCACACCTCCCCGCTTTGTGCTCTGCACAACCCCCGCCTCACGCTCTGTGCATCCTCCGCCTCACGCTCTGTGCATCCCCCGTCTCACGCTCTGTGCATCCCCCGCCTCGTGCTTTGCATACCCCGGCCTCATGCTCTGTGCATCCCCCGCCTCATGCTCTGTGCATCCCCCGCCTCATGCTCTGCACTCCTGCCTCATGCTCTGTGCACACTCCTGCCTCGTGCTGTGTGTTCTTGATCATGTTTGGATGAGACTTTGTGCAATTATTTTTGGCCTGGCCATGGTTTTTTTTTTTTTTTTTTTTTTTCTGGGGGTTATCTTTGTAGGAATTTGACATCAGAGTTGTGACAAATTTTGAAACCTAATTGAGCATCTTTTAACCTGTTCTACGGTTCCAGCCTCATTTGTATGATGTCGGGATTATGACTTGTTTGGGAACTTGGCACACTCACCCACAGACCATCCAGGCCTGCAGCCCTCTGGGGAATAATCATTTCATAACTTTTAGATTTTCCTTCTTTGTGTATTGGTTCATTTAGGTTTTCTACTTCTTATTGAGTCACTTGAAAGTAATTTTCCAGGCTATCTCCTTTTATTGAAATTTTAATTAATACATAATTGTACATAATATTCTTTTATAATTTGAAAAGTGTCTGGGGTGGGGGGTCTGTGAAGCCTGAGGACTCCAGGCCTCCCACGTGGCAGGAGGCCGGGCACACGCTGATGACTTTGCTTCTTTCGAACTTTTTTTCCTTGGAAAACATTTCAGAGGGAAGATTAGTTGGTTCCTTTGTAGGCACATTTTTTTTTTTTTTTTGAGATGGATTCTTGCTCTGTCGCCCAGGCTGGATTGCAGTGGCACGATCTTGGCTCACTGCAAGCTCCAGTAGGCACATTTTAAGGTATAATTTTTTGATATGGCTCCGAACACTTTCTCTAATATGTATTTGCTTTATTGCTAGGAGAATACACATGACATGGAGGTAGAATAGAATTTCATAAGCCATAAAGGCATAGATAAGCTAAATTTGGCCAGGGATTGGGGAAATGCCACATGACCTCATCAGCCTGGTTGGGGAATATTCAGTCCTCATGAGGGTGTGGGGCCAGGAGGTGTTGGTGGGCATGGACCCTCCCCCTTGGTGTGGAAAGCAAAGAAAGTGAACACACCTGAGCCCAGCGTCAGACCACAGAGGATGTTCACAGAGCAGGAGGCTCCTCCCCATCCACAAAGGATGTTCACAGAGCAGGAGGCTCCTCCCCATCCACAGAGGATGTTTACAGAGCAGGGAAGCTCCTCCCCATCCACAGAGGATGTTCACAGAGCAGGAGGCTCCTCCCCATCCACAGAGGATGTTCACAGAGCAGGGAGGCTCCTCCCCATCCACAGAGGATGCTCACAGAGCAGGGAGGCTCCTCCCCATCCACAGAGGATGTTCAGAGAGCAGAGGGCTCCTCCCCATCCACAGAGGATGTTCACAGAGCAGGAGGCTCCTCCTGGACCACAGAGGATGCTCACAGAGCAGGAGGCTCCTCCCCATCCACAGAGGATGTTCACAGAGCAGGGAGGCTCCTCCCCATCCACAGAGGATGTTCACAGAGCAGGGAAGCTCCTCCCCATCCACAGAGGATGTTCACAGAGCAGGAGGCTCCTCCTGGACCACAGAAGATGCTCACAGAGCAGGAGGCTCCTCCCTATCCACAGAGGATGTTCACAGAGCAGGGAGGCTCCTCCCCATCCACAGAGGATGTTCACAGAGCAGGGAGGCTCCTCCCCATCCACAGAGGATGCTCACAGAGCAGGGAGGCTCCTCCCCATCCACAGAGGATGCTCACAGAGCAGGAGGCTCCTCCCCATCCACAGAGGATGTTCACAGAGTAGGGGGCTCCTCCCCATCCACAGAGGATGCTCACAGAGCAGGAGGCTCCTCCCCATCCACAGAGGATGTTCACAGAGCAGGGGGCTCCTCCCCATCCACAGAGGATGTTCACAGAGCAGGAGGCTCCTCCTGGACCACAGAGGATGCTCACAGAGCAGGAGGCTCCTCCCCATCCACAGAGGATGTTCACAGAGCAGGGAAGCTCCTCCCCATCCACAGAGGATGTTCACAGAGCAGGAGGCTCCTCCTGGACCACAGAGGATGCTCACAGAGCAGGAGGCTCCTCCCTATCCACAGAGGATGTTCACAGAGCAGGGAGGCTCCTCCCCATCCACAGAGGATGTTCACAGAGCAGGGAGGCTCCTCCCCATCCACAGAGGATGCTCACAGAGCAGGGAGGCTCCTCCCCATCCACAGAGGATGCTCACAGAGCAGGGAGGCTCCTCCCCATCCACAGAGGATGCTCACAGAGCAGGAGGCTCCTCCCCATCCACAGAGGATGTTCACAGAGTAGGGGGCTCCTCCCCATCCACAGAGGATGTTCACAGAGCAGGGGGCTCCTCCCCATCCACAGAGGATGTTCACAGAGCAGGAGGCTCCTCCTGGACCACAGAGGATGCTCACAGAGCAGGAGGCTCCTCCCCATCCACAGAGGATGCTCACAGAGCAGGAGGCTCCTCCCCATCCACAGAGGATGTTCACAGAGCAGGGGGCTCCTCCACATCCACAGAGGATGTTCACAGAGAAGGAGGCTCCTCCTGGACCACAGAGGATGCTCACAGAGCAGGAGGCTCCTCCCCATCCACAGAGGATGCTCACAGAGCAGGGAGGCTCCTCCCCATCCACAGAGGATGTTCACAGAGCAGGAGGCTCCTCCTGGACCACAGAGGATGCTCACAGAGCAGGAGGCTCCTCCCCATCCACAGAGGATGCTCACAGAGCAGGGAGGCTCCTCCCCATCCACAGAGGATGCTCACAGAGCAGGAGGCTCCTCCCCATCCACAGAGGATGTTCACAGAGCAGGGGGCTCCTCCCCATCCACAGAGGATGCTCACAGAGCAGGAGGCTCCTCCCCATCCACAGAGGATGCTCACAGAGCAGGGAGGCTCCTCCCCATCCACAGAGGATGTTCACAGAGCAGGGAAGCTCCTCCCCATCCACAGAGGATGTTCACAGAGCAGGAGGCTCCTCCTGGACCACAGAGGATGCTCACAGAGCAGGAGGCTCCTCCCTATCCACAGAGGATGTTCACAGAGCAGGGAGGCTCCTCCCCATCCACAGAGGATGTTCACAGAGCAGGGAGGCTCCTCCCCATCCACAGAGGATGCTCACAGAGCAGGGAGGCTCCTCCCCATCCACAGAGGATGCTCACAGAGCAGGGAGGCTCCTCCCCATCCACAGAGGATGCTCACAGAGCAGGAGGCTCCTCCCCATCCACAGAGGATGTTCACAGAGTAGGGGGCTCCTCCCCATCCACAGAGGATGTTCACAGAGCAGGGGGCTCCTCCCCATCCACAGAGGATGTTCACAGAGAAGGAGGCTCCTCCTGGACCACAGAGGATGCTCACAGAGCAGGAGGCTCCTCCCCATCCACAGAGGATGCTCACAGAGCAGGGAGGCTCCTCCCCATCCACAGAGGATGTTCACAGAGCAGGAGGCTCCTCCTGGACCACAGAGGATGCTCACAGAGCAGGAGGCTCCTCCCCATCCACAGAGGATGCTCACAGAGCAGGGAGGCTCCTCCCCATCCACAGAGGATGCTCACAGAGCAGGAGGCTCCTCCCCATCCACAGAGGATGCTCACAGAGCAGGGAGGCTCCTCCCCATCCACAGAGGATGTTCACAGAGCAGGGGGCTCCTCCCCATCCACGAGGATGCTCACAGAGCAGGAGGCTCCTCCCCATCCACAGAGGATGTTCACAGAATAGGGGGCTCCTCCCCATCCACAGAGGATGTTCACAGAGCAGGGGGCTCCTCCCCATCCACAGAGGATGCTCACAGAGCAGGAGGCTCCTCCCCATCCACAGAGGATGCTCACAGAGCAGGGGCTCCTCCCCATCCACAGAGGATGCTCACAGAGCAGGAGGCTCCTCCCCATCCACAGAGGATGCTCACAGAGCAGAGGCTCCTCCCCATCCACAGAGGATGCTCACAGAGCAGGGGCTCCTCCCCATCCACAGAGGATGCTCACAGAGCAGGGGGCTCCTCCCCATCCACAGAGGATGTTCACAGAGCAGGAGGCTCCTCCCCATCCACAGAGGATGCTCACAGAGCAGGGGCTCCTCCCCATCCACAGAGGATGCTCACAGAGCAGGGGGCTCCTCCCCATCCACAGAGGATGCTCACAGAGCAGGAGGCTCCTCCCCATCCACAGAGGATGCTCACAGAGCAGGGGCTCCTCCCCATCCACAGAGGATGCTCACAAAGCAGGAGGCTCCTCCCCATCCACAGAGGATGCTCACAGAGCAGAGGCTCCTCCCCATCCACAGAGGATGCTCACAGAGCAGGGGCTCCTCCCCATCCACAGAGGATGCTCACAGAGCAGGGGGCTCCTCCCCATCCACAGAGGATGTTCACAGAGCAGGAGGCTCCTCCCCATCCACAGAGGATGCTCACAGAGCAGGGGCTCCTCCCCATCCACAGAGGATGCTCACAGAGCAGGGGGCTCCTCCCCATCCACAGAGGATGCTCAGAGAGCAGGGGCTCCTCCCCATCCACAGAGGATGCTCACAGAGCAGGGGGCTCCTCCCCATCCACAGAGGATGTACACAGAGCAGGAGGCTCCTCCCCATCCACAGAGGATGCTCACAGAGCAGGGGGCTCCTCCCCATCCACAGAGGATGCTCACAGAGCAGGGGCTCCTCCCCATCCACAGAGGATGCTCACAGAGCAGGGGGCTCCTCCCCATCCACAGAGGATGTACACAGAGCAGGAGGCTCCTCCCCATCCACAGAGGATGCTCACAGAGCAGGGGGCTCCTCCCCATCCACAGAGGATGCTCACAGAGCAGGAGGCTCCTCCCCATCCACAGAGGATGCTCACAGAGCAGAAGGCTCCTCCCGGGAGGCCGATTACAGCTGTGTGTTTGCACGGAAACATGGAAACAAGCCCTGTCCATCAATAGGGCAAGGGTTAAAAATTCAGTGTGTGTGTCTGTATTTGTGCTCATGTGTACAGAGTTGCCAGGAAACAGTTAAATGAACCAGGTAGCTACCAGATGGCTCAGGGTGGATAAATCTCAAAGAGATAATGCAGCAGCAAAAAGTTCAGTTGCAGAATAAAATGTGTAGGGTGCTACCATTTATGTACAACTTAAGCATATAAAAGTCATTCTCCAGTGTGTGTGGGCACACAGGCAGGCAGGAGGCACACGGAGGCCTGCCCGCTTGCTGTGCCCATAGACGCAGTGCTCCCACGGGCAGGATGGGCACCTGTGGCCACTTCACCACATCCAGCTCCTCCTTTTACACTTGAGGCCTGAGGGGAAGGAGGATGCTCTGAAGCCAGGGAAACCCCGGCAGGTGTTGAAGCTTGGGGTGGGGTGCATAGGGGTTGTTAACATGTTCTTTATACTTCCCAGGAATGTTTTAGGAGCATCAGCCTGATTTCTCATCCCTTTCCTCCCCGCCTCAGTTCCAGATTTCGGAAGGTTCACGAGTGTTGCCGACACGCCCTCCCAACTGCAGACATCCTCCCTGGAGGACCTGCTGTGCTCACATGCCCCCCTGTCCAGCGAGGACGACACCTCCCCGGGCTGTGCAGCCCCCTCCCAGGCACCCTTCAAGGCCTTCCTCAGTCCCCCAGAGCCACATAGCCACCGAGGCACCGACAGGAAGCTGTCCCCGCTCCTGAGCCCCTTGCAAGACTCACTGGTGGACAAGACCCTGCTGGAGCCCAGGGAGATGGTCCGGCCTAAGAAGGTGTGTTTCTCGGAGAGCAGCCTGCCCACCGGGGACAGGACCAGGAGGAGCTACTACCTCAATGGTATGGCCGGGTGCGGGGGCACCTGGGGGGGCCCCCAGTGCAGGCTGGCAGCTGTGGGGAGGGCATGACTGGGTGGTCAGGCAGGGCCGTTTCTCCATCCAGTCACACAGAGTGGAGGGAGGAGAGCCAGGCTGGGAGGCTGGGGTCCAAGGCTGTGTCTGTCCTAGTCTTTTGTCCATCTTTAAAGATAAAATGGGTTGCTTATCTTCTTCTTGGGAAGTTGTGAGAGTTCTTTATGTGTCTGGATATGAGTCCTTTTTTGGGTGTATGTTTTGCAGATACGGTCTCCCACTCCATGGTTTTTCATTTTCATAATAATGTTTTTTGATGAGCAAAACTGTTTAATTTGATGATGTCCAATTTATTGATTTTTCTTTTGTATTTTATGCTTTTTATGTTCAGTTTAAGAAATCTTTGCCAAGCCCAAGGTCACACAGATTCTCTCCTGTGTGTTGTTCTAGAAGTTTTATAGTTTAGGTTTTACATGTAGGTCTCTGATCAATTCCAAGTTAATTTTCATATATGGTGTGAGGTTTGCATGTAGATATCCACCTGAGGCTCAGGCCAGCCTCCCACCTCAGCCTCCCAGGTATCTGGGACTACAGGTGTATGCCACCAGGCCTGGCTAATTTTTTGGTTTTTGTGTTTTTGTTATTGTAGAGATGGGATTTTGCTACGATGCCCAGGCTGGTCTTGACCTCCCGGGCTGAAGCAATTCGCCTGCCTCGGCCTCCCAAAATGCTGGGATTACAGGCATGAGCCACCATGCCTGGCCTGTCAATTTTATTTATCTTTTCAAATAACCGATTTTTTGTTACATTGATCTGTTGTATTGTTTTCTTCATTTAAATTTCATTTATTTCTTCTCTGATCTTAATTATTTTTCTTCTAATTTTGGATTTGGTTTGCTCTTGCATTTCTAGCTCTGTAAGATGAATCATTAGCTTATTTGAAGTTTTTCTACTTTTTTGATATAGGCACTCATAACTATAAACTCTTAGCACTTACAGCTATAGCTCTTAGTATGGCTTTTGCTGAATCTAGTACATAGTAGGTTTTGGTGTGTTGTGTTTCCATTATCATTTGTTTCAAGACATTTTTAAAATTTCCTTCTTAATTTCTTCACTGATGCACTGGCCATCCAGGAGCGTATTGTTTAATTTCTATGTGTTGGTATAATTTCCAAAATTCCTTTTGTTATTGATTTCATTTTATTCCATTATGGTCGGAGAAGATACTTGATATAATTTCAATTTTTTTGATTTTTAAAGACTTGTTTTGCAGCCTAGCATATGGTCTATCCTTGAGAATGATCCATGTGCTAATGAGAAGCAGGTGTATTCTGCACCTGTTGGATGAAATGTTCTGTAAATATCTATCATGTTCATTTGGTCTATAGTATAGATTAAGTCTGATATTTCTTTGATTTTCTGTCTTAAAGATCTGTCCAAGGGTGAAAATGCGTATTGAAGTCTCCAGTTACTATTGTACTGGGGTCTGTCTCTCGATTTAGCTCTAGTAATATTTGCTTTACATATCTGGGTGCTCCAGTGTTGGGTGCATATATATTTATAACTGTTATATCCTCTTGCTGAATTGACCCCTTTATCATTATATAATGACCTTCTTTGTCTCTTGTTATAGTTTTTGTCTTGAAATCCACTTTGATATAACTATGGCTGCTACTGCTCTTTTTTGGTTCTCATTTGCATGGAATATCCTTTTCTATCCCTTTATTTTCAGTCTGTGTGAGTCTTTATAGGCGACGTGTGTTTCTTGTAGGCAGCAGATGGTTGGGTCTTGTTTTTTTTTTATCCATTCAGCCACTCCGTCTTTTGATTGGAGAGTTTAGTCTATTTACATTCAAAGTTTCTTGGTTGTTTTTGACCAAACTCACATACTATCATTCATCGATTTGACTGTGCTGTAATTTTTTTTTTTGGAGACAGGGTCTCACTTTGATGCCCAGGCTGGAGTGCAGTGGTGCAATCTTGGCTCACTGCAACCTCCGCCTCCTGGGTTCAAGTGATTCTCATGCCTCAGCCACCCGAGTAGCTGGGATTATAGGTGCGTGCCACCACGCCCAGCTAATCTTTGTATTTTTAGTAGAGATGGGGTTTTGCCACATTGACCAGGCTGGTCTCAAACTCCTGACCTCAAGTGATCCGCCCACCTCAGCCTCCCAAAGTACTGGGATTACAGGCATGAGCTACTGCACCTGCCTATTTACATTCAAAGTTATTATTGATAAAGATTTACTCCTGCCATTTTGTTATTTGTTTTCTCATTGTTTTGTGGTCTTCCCTCCTCTTTATCTAGAAGAGTTTGTGTTGAATTGGTGTTATTTATTCCTTAAGTGGTAGAATTCACCGCTGAAACTACCCGAGCCTTGAATGGTCTCTGTGGGAACATTTTCCCCCTACAAATTCCATTTTATTGATAATGTCAACTGAAATTAAGGCTGTTGAGACAAATAATTCGATAAAGGTTTATTGGAAGCCAAATGTGAGGATCAACCCAGAGGAACACACCAACAAAGTTGAGAGTGTTCTGGAATCTAAGTCAGAAGGTTTCTATAGGAGAGGCTAGGAGGAGGGAAAGGACTCCTCATACTCATGTCTAAGTCAGAAGGCTTCTATAGGAGAGGCTAGGAGGAGGGAAAGGACTCCTCATACTCATGTTGTCCTTTTCTAGTCAGAAGGTTTCTATAGGAGAGGCTAAGAGGAGGGAAAGGACTCATACTCATATCTAAGTCAGAAGGCTTCTACAGGAGAGGCTAGGAGGAGAGAAAGGACTCCTCATACTCATGTTGTCCTTTTCTTTGGAGGGTACAACACAGAGGTTACAAGCATTGGCTACAGATGACAACATACAGGTCAACACATCTCTGTGCAAGACAGTCAGTAAACCTTTATGATTCAGGAATAAATCAGCATCTTTTCAGTCCATTAATCAGCACATCAGCAATCTGAGGAAATCATGATAAGATTCTTTACTCAGGGACCATTAATCATAAGACCTTCCCAAGCAGGCCAGTTTGGAAGTCTGTTTACTTTTAAACTGTCAAATGTGACCTGTAAGGTTATCAGATATAAGGCTATTCAGAGTATCTATTTCTTCTTGAGTGAACTTTGGTAGTTTGTGTCTTTTAAGGAATTGGTCAATTTCATCTAGGTTGTCAAATTTATTGGCATAAAGTCATTCCTAATACTTCCTTATTATCCTTTTTATGTCTGTAGAATCTGTGGTAGTGGCATCTCTAATTTCTGCTAGTGGTAATTTTTGTCTTCTTTCTTTTTTCCCCTAAGTCTGGCTAGAGGTTTATCAATGTATGGCCTTTTTCCTTTGAAGAACAGGTTTTTGGCTGGATCTTACAGAGCCCAGGTTGGACTAGAAATCATTTCTAGAACCTATACTAGAATCATTTCTCTTCTATAGGATGTTTCTTCTACCTCATTTTTGCCTTGGTGGGGGGATGGGAGAAAGAGCTTGATTCTTTTTTTTTTTTTTTTTCTTGAGATGGAGTCTCGCTCTGTCGCCCAGGCTGGAGTGCAGTGGTGCGATCTCGGCTCACTGCAACATCCACCTCCCGGGTTCAAGCCATTCTCCTGCCTCAGCCTCCTCAGTAGCTGGGATTACAGGCACCCGCCACCATGCCTGGCTAATTTTTGTATTTTTAGTAGAGATGGGGTTTCACCATGTTTGCCAAGCTGGTCTCGAACTCCTGACCTTGTGATCCACCCACCTCGGCTTCCCAAAGTGCTGGGATTACAGGCATGAGCCACCGCACCTGGCCAAGAGCTTGATTCTTGATGAGAGAAATACATTGATACAGAAGGAGGAGATTACACCTGCTCTTCCACACCCCTCATTGGCCCTAACACACTTCTGTGCAGTGTGTTGACATACCTCTTCTGCAGTCTTGAAAAGTGATTGGGAAAGAAATACACTGAAAACTACAAACATCACTGAAAGGAATGAAAGAAGACATAAATGACCAGGCACAGTGGCTCACACCTGTAATCCCAACATTTTGGAAGGCTGAGATGGGCAGATCTCTTGAGCCCAGGAGTTCAAGACCAGCCTCAGCAACAGGGCGAAACCCCATCTCTACCAACCCCCCACCACCCAAGTTAGCTGGTCGTGGTGGTGCATGCCTGTAGTTCCAGCTATTCAGGAGGCTGAGGTGGGAGGATCACTCAAGCCCAGAAGGTAGAGGTTGCAGTGAGCTGAGATCGTGCCACTGCACTCCAGCTTGGGTGACAGAGCGAGACCCTTTCTTCAAAAAAACAAACAAACAAACAATAAATAAATAAACAGAAAAACACCTTGTGTTCACAGATTAGAAGACTTTATATTGTTCAAAAATCAATAATTTTGATATGGATTACATTGGATCTGCAGATTCATGCAATCCCAATCAGAATCCTAGTGGCTTCTTTACAGAAATTGACAAGCAGAAACTGAAATTCATATAGAAGTGTAAGGAACCAGAATAAGTAAAACGATCTTGAAAAAGGAGAACATTGAGGGACTCATACTTCCCAGTTTCAAAATTGACTATAAAACTTACAGTTAACAAGACTGTGGTACTGCCATAACGATGGACATACAGATCAATGCAATGGAATGGGAAGGTCAGAAATAAAACTGTACATAGATGGTTTTCAACAAGAGTGCCAAGACAATTCAGGAGGGACTGAATACTGTCTAACGCGTGGTGCTGGAACAAAGAGGTATCCACATGCCAAGGAATGAGGCTGGGCCTTACTCCACACCACATACACAAATTAACTCAAAATGGATCAAAGACCTAAGAGGTCTCAAAGAGCTGAGGCCAGAAAACTTGTAGAAAAGACATAGGGGTAAATCTTCGTGACCTTGGATTTGGCAATGGATTCTTAGAGATCACATCAAAAGCATGAGCAAAAGAGAGAAACAGACAAATTGGACTTCATCAAAAGTAAAACAAAACAAAAAAACAAACTTTTGTGCTTCAAAGGACAGTATCAAAAAAATGAAAAGCCAACCCGGAGAATGGGAGAAAACATTTGTAAATTGTGCGTTTGAAATGGGACTAGTATGCAGAATATTTAAGAACTCTGACAATTCAACAGTAAGAAGACAAACAATCCAATGAAAAATCACTACAGGACCTGAATAGATATTTCTCCAAAGAAGATACAGTATATAAATGGCCAATAAGCACGTGAAAAGATGCTCGAATCACTAGTCGTTAGTGAAATGCAAATGAGATACTGTTTCCCGTCCTCCAGGAAAAAGATGGACAAGGTCATGTGCTGTTACGGACTCGGATGCCATCAGAGGCTGTCCTGGGGAGGGGGGTTCGGAAGCAGGTTTTGTGGGAGCATTGCAGTCTCCTAAGTAATGTTGAGGAAGTAATTAAAGTAGAATGTCCTGGGCCAGGTGCGGTGGCTCACGCCTGTAATCCCAGCACTATGGGAGGCTGAGGTGGGCGGATCACCTGAGGTCAGCAGTTCGAGACCAGCCTGGCCAACAGGGTGAAACCCCAGCTCTACTAAAAATACAAAAACTTGGCTGGGTGTGGTGGCACGCGGCTGTAGTCCCACTACTCTGGAGGCTGAGGCAGGAGAATCGCTTGAGCCGGGGAGGCGGAGGTTGCGGTGAGTGGAGATGGCGCCACTGCACTCCAGCCTGGATGACAGAGTGAGACTCTGTCTAAGAAAAAAAAAAAAAAAAAAGTCCTGCCAACCCAGCGGTCCTTTTCTCAGAGGTAGGAAAGAATGAAGCAGTTTTATTGAATAAACATTAAAGCAGCCTTTGATGCCCAGAGGTTGCCAAGACAGAAGAACTCTCCCCCTTCCTCCCAGCCAAGCCGACCGGCCCTGTTCCACGGGCGTCCTCACTGGAGGGGACCCGTCCCAACTCAGACCTCCAGGGCCGGGTTCCTCTGTCCTCGCAGGGGCCGACGCTGGGGCAGACTCCCGCGTGACAGGGGACCAGTCCCCACCCCCGAGATTAAAAGGTTTACCTCATCGCAAAGGGACAGAAGGGAGCCGAGGACAGGGGGAAGGGAAGGCTGGCTTGCCCTTTGGCACTTTAAGAAGCTCCTTTTCTTTCAGATTCTATTTGCCAGACAGTGGGGGGTGGCGGCAGGTGGGAGGAGGGGGGTGGAGGAGCCGCCCCCCACGTGGCCGAGGGCACCCTCGAGGGCAGTGGATCCTCGCGCTCCCCTGACCTTGTCCCCGGCCTTCCCTCCCCCAGAGATCCAGAGCTTCGCGGGCGCCGAGAAGGACGCGCGCGTGGTGGGCGAGATCGCCTTCCAGCTGGACCGCCGCATCCTGGCCTACGTGTTCCCGGGCGTGACGCGGCTCTACGGCTTCACGGTGGCCAACATCCCCGAGAAGATCGAGCAGGTGCGCCCCGTGGGGAGGGCGCGGCCAGGAGGGTGCGGGGCGCTCGGTCCGTTCCTGTGCGGCCCCCAGATCTTGGCTCCTGGCCGGGCACTGTCCGCAGGAGGGGACCCCGGGGACCCAGGCGGGCGGGGCAGGGATCGGCCCTGGGCCTGGAAGTCCCCGTCCGAGGGCCCCGAGCCCCCCACCCCCATCCATGCGCTGCGCCCGCAGACCTCCACCAAGTCTCTGGACGGCTCCGTGGACGAGAGGAAGCTGCGCGAGCTGACGCAGCGCTACCTGGCCCTGAGCGCGCGCCTGGAGAAGCTGGGCTACAGCCGCGACGTGCACCCGGCGTTCAGCGAGTTCCTCATCAACACCTACGGAATCCTGAAGCAGCGGCCCGACCTGCGCGCCAACCCCCTGCACAGCAGCCCGGCCGCGCTGCGCAAGCTGGTCATCGACGTGGTGCCCCCCAAGTTCCTGGGCGACTCGCTGCTGCTGCTCAACTGCCTGTGCGAGCTCTCCAAGGAGGACGGCAAGCCCCTCTTCGCCTGGTGAGCCGCCCCGCGCCCGCCGCCTTGCCTGCAGTAAACGCGTTTGTTCCAACCCGGGGCCGCGGTGCCTCCTGCGCGTCCCCCCGGAGGGGAAAGGGCCGCGTCCCCCGCGCGCGAGGCCAGAGAAGGCCCCGCTCCCACCGGTGCTGGGCCCCGACCGCAGCCCGCCGCTGCCCGCACCTGCGGAGTGCTTCTCACCCCTCATTAAAATCATCCGTTTGCATGTCTGCCTTTACCTCTGGCTCTTTGAGGGCGTGGAGGGCGCCTCGGCCGCTGCTCCGCCTGCAGGAAGCGCCGCTCGGTGCTCAAGGAGGGAAGCCAGGAAGGAGCCGCAGCCGGCAGGGGCCCCCTCTCCCCGCTTCCCCCCTCCCCCCTTCCCCCGTTCCCGCTTCCCCCTCCCCCGTTCCCGGTTCCCCCCTCCCCTTCCCCCTCCCCCTACCCCCCTCCCCCTCTCCCTCCCCCTCCCCCTCCCCCTCCCACCTCCCCCTCCCCCTCCCCCTTCCCCCTCCCCCTTCCCCCTTCCCCTTCCCCCTCCCCCCTTCCCCTCCCCCTTCCCCTTCCCCTTCCAACTTCCCCTTCCCCCTTCCCCTTCCCCTTCCCCCTTCCACCTTCCCCCTTCCCCTTCCCCCTTCCCCTTCCCCTTCCCCCTTCCCCTTCCCCCTCCCCCCTTCCCCTTCCCCTTCCCCCTTCCCCTTCCCATTTCCCCTTCCCCCTTCCCCCTTCCCCTTCCCCCTCCCCCCTTCCCCTCCCCCGGGCCTCCACGCCCACCCGCTTTCCCGCCCGGGACGGCGAGTCCTGTCCCAGTTTGGGTTTCCCCGAATGCCGAGCTGGGGCAAGGACTTGGTTCTGGCGGATGGTTGCGCACCCCTGCCGGCAAAATGGAAACGCAGCCCCTTGTTCAAAAGCGAAGAATTCGAAAGGGCAACAGCCGCGTTACAGTGAACCCGGACCTTAGGGCTGAGCAGTGGCAACGCAGGCGGGAGAGCGCCGGGGAGCCCCGAGACCGTGGGGGTGCTGGGGGTGGGCGAGCACAGGGGAGCCCCGGAGACCATGGGGGTGCCGGGGGTGGGCGAGCGCCGGGGAGCCCCAGAGACCGTGGGAGTGTTGGGGGTGGGCGAGGACAGGGGAGCCCCGAGACCGTGGGGGTGCCGGGGGTGGGCGAGCGCCGGGGAGCCCCGGAGACCATGGGGGTGCTGGGGGTGGACGAGCACAGGGGAGCCCCGGAGACCATGTCAGGTGCACCTTGCACCATCCCGGAGCGGGGAGCTGGGGAGCTGACCCATCAATTCCCCTCCCCCTGGGTCATCTCCCTGCCGGAGGCCGGAACAGCGAGAAGACGGGCCCTCAGTGAATTGGCGGGACCTTGGGGCTGAGGAGATACCCAGTTCCAAAGTGCCCTGGAACGAGGGGCATTTACCGTGTCTCAGGGGAGTCTTGGCTCATGCTGCACAAGCCAGCACGCTCAGCCTGGTCCTCACACTGTCTCAGCAATAGTGGCGAGGATGGCAGGGCTGTCACACATTAACAGTTCAGAGCTCGATGGAGACTGCTGGGGACCCCACTCTGGCTGGTAGCTACAACATTCAGCTCCCAGGTGCAGATGGGCTGGATCCTGGGGTGCGGGCCCAACCTCATGCCCGGCAGACGAGGGGCCCACTGGCCTGAGAAGCTCTGGCTGGGTGCTGATTTCTGGCCTTACCTTTGAGGGTGGCCTGTGGCCACACCGGCAGTGGGCTGGCTCTGTGGCTGGGTGCTGATTTCTGGCCTTACCTTTGAGGGTCGCCTGTGGCCACGCCGGCACTGGGCTGGCTCTGTGGCTGGGCCAGGAGCTTTGGGCCCCAGGCCTAGGGCTGCAGCCACACAGTCTCGGCCAGGTGGTCCATGCCCCCTTCCCCTCGGTGCCAGCGAGTGGATACTTTCAGCAAGCCTGGGATAGGAAGGGCTGTGATGAAACGCACCAGGATTTATTTCAGTTGGGTGTGGTGGGATACAGACACAGGACTCCTGACTTTAAAGGAGAGTGTGTCACAAAGTACTGCAGACCCAGCTACTTAAACCACAGGAGGGCACGTACCGTGCCACACAGGGCCGCCCGGGGCGGGGCGCCGTGGCAACAGGACGCAGAAGGCGAGAGGGGAGAGCATGGCCAGAGGCTCTGTGGGGGTTTCCCTGGGAAGAGAGGCCAGGGAGGGTAGGCACGAAGGAGCAAGTTTAGGATTGGACAGGTTAATTTCCCTGGGCTCCGGGCTATGGGGTGGTGTCTAGTTGACCACCGTCCTGCCCCAGGGTGATTGAGGGCAGAGGAACATGGGTTTGGTGAGTGAGTCAGATAAGGGGTGGTTGGGTTTACAGGCTCCAGGTGGGTTGGCTTGTGCCTTAAAGGGGAGCTCTGTTTGCAGGCACCTTTTGCTGTCTCTAGGAATTAGCCAGTCCTGGGAGGGCAGTCTCCACCTAGCCAGTAAGGCCCCCGAGAGGTCAAAGCATTGTAAACCAGAAAACAAAAACCATATGAGTTATACAGGAACAGTCTGGTGGGCAGGTGGCATTCAGCCCCTGTGCTCTGGGTCTCTAGAAGAATGGGGTTCTCAGCCTCTGGCCATGGGTCCCCCAAACAGCCTTAGTGTCTTCCAGGCTCTTGGGCTTGGCTTGGAGTGGCCCCTGGGGGCTTTGGCTGGGGCGGTGCCCATGGCTCACCCTCTGTCCATATAGTGGGGCCCAAGTTGTCCACTGTGCTGGGCTAGCCTGGGGGGGCCCTGTGGTCAGAAGCTAGACCCCCACCCTGGCAGTGCCACCCCCTAGGCCCCTAAGCTGCAGGTGCACGTGGAACTTTCTGGAGGGCTCCCGTGCAGAGAGGGTGAAGCCCATTCCTGCACTTTTTCTTACTGTACTATTAAAATGAGGAGAAATGGGAACAGGGTGAGGAGGGTGGCCCTGAAGTGGCTGGCGTGGCCATGTCTCCTGGGGCAGCACCCGGGCCCTGGGCACCAGCTCTTCCATCTGTAGACGGGAGGGCAGTGAGCTTCTAGGGGATGATTTCCACCTCCTGGGACGGAGGTGGGCACCGGCCCAAGTGAACTCGGATTCTCCTGCACACAGCTTCCGTATTCAGTCATTTACTTATGGGCCCACTATGTTTGTCTCATACTCTGGGTTAGAAAAGTGTATGGCCTGCCTGGCCCTGGAATCAGTAGCCCTGGGCCTGTCACTGGGGAGAGATGGTGGAAACCCTGGTGTGGGCATAGCTGAGATTCTTTCTCCTGTAAGTGGGGTCCCTTAGGGTCCCCGATTCAGGAGCTATTTACAGCACCTGCCAGCATTTCTAATGTCTCAGTGCTGCCCCTGAGAACCAGCGCCGGCGTCACAACCAGCCCCATTCCCCCTCGTGTTCTCAGCTGTAGCCAAGCCCTGGTCCAGCAGTAGCTGGGTAGGAAATGCATGCAGCTCCTGCCGGGGCCTCCCGCCCCAACCCTCTCTCCTGACAGGCGATTTGCTGGGCTGGAGGACAGGGCCAGGTCTTGGCCTTGGCACCGTCCTGGGTCACGAGTGTATGGTTCTGGTCACTCTGCTGTGGTGCGAGGATGAAGGTGCCAGCCCAGTGTGGGCAACCCTCACAGCCAGAATGTTCCAGTGCCCCGCACCTCGGGACCCTGGATGTGTGCGGCTGCCGTCACAAAGTACCGCAGACCCAGCAGCTTAAACCACAGAAATTTATTCTATCACAGTCCTGAAGGCCCAGAGTACAAGATCAAAGTGTCTGCAGATTCTGTTTGTCTGAGGTCTCTCTGCTTGGCTTGCAGGCGGCCGCCTCCCTGCTTTGTCCTCCTGGCCTTTTCTCTGAGTGCATCCCTGGTGTCTCTCCCTCTTCTCACCGCCCTGTCCATCTCCACATCCAATCCAGTCGGCGGTGCTGGGGGTAATCCAGTCTGCCATGCTGGAGGTCAGGCCTTCAGCAGATGGTTTCTCGAGGGAATGCAGTGCGGCCCTCAACAGACCCCATCCTCCCCTCCTGGCCTCCAGACATGGATCCCTGACTCCATCCTCCCCTTGAGGCTCCACAGAGCTCTGACCCCATCCTCCCCTCCTGGTCTCCCTCCAGACACAGATCCCTGACCCCATCCCCCACTCCCAGCCTCCAGACGTGGAGCCCTGGCTGGGGAACTCTGTGTGCTCCCAGCCTCTGAAGGTTTCTGGGCTTACCTGGCTCCTGTCTCATCCCAGTCCCCCTGAGTAGCCACGGAGGTGGGGTCCCTAAGGCCCACATGGTTGGGGTTCCATTAAGAACTTCAAGTGGGTGGCTCACGCCTGTAATCCCAGCACTTTGGGAGACCGAGGTGGGTGGATCATGAGGTCAAGAGATCGAGACCATCCTGGCCAACATGGTGAAACCCCATCTCTACTAAAAATACAAAAAATTAGCTGGGTGTGGTAGCGGGTGCCTGTAGTCCCAGCTACTCTGGAGGCTGAGGCAGGAGAATGGCGTGAACCCGGGAGGCAGAGCTTGCAGTGAGCCAAGATCGCACCACTGCACTCCAGCCTGGGCGACAGAGTGAGACTCTGTCTCAAAAAAAAAAAAAAAAAAAAAAAAAAAAGAACTTCAAGTGGGGCTGGGCTCAGTGGCTCACACTTGTAATTCCAGCACTTTGGGAGGCCGAGGCAGGAGGATCGCTTGAGCCCAGGAGTTTGAGACCAGCCTGGGCAACGTGGTGAGACCTCATGTGTATTTGTCTGATAAAGACATACGCAAGACTGGGTAATTTTTAAAGAAAAAGCAGTTTAATGGACTCAACAGTTCCACAATCATGGTGGAAGGTGAAAGAGGAGCAAAGTCACGTCTTACAAGAGGGTGTGTGCAGGGGAACTGCCCTTTATAAAACCATCGGATCTCGTGAGACCATTCACTATCACAAAAACAGCACCGGAAAAAGCCGCCCCCGTGATTCAGTGACCTCCCACCGGGTCCCTCCCATGACGTGGGAACTATGGGCTCTACAATTCAAGATGAGATTTAGGTGGGGACACAGCCAAACCATATCACCATGTCTACCAAAAATGGAAAAGTTAGCCAGTGTAGTGGTGTGTGCCTGTGGCCCAGATGCTCAGGAGGCTAAGGTGAAAGGACCTCTTGAGCCTGGGGACCAAGGCTGCAGGAAGCCATGATTGTGCCGCTGCACTCCAGCCTGGCTGACAGAGTGAGACTTTGTCTCAAAAAAAAAAAAAAGAGAAAATGATAAAAGCACTGCAAGTGGGCAGCGGCTGAACGTGGAGACAGGAGTTCTCCCTTCTGAGCACGGCCCTGGTGCCGCTGACTTCGTGGGGAGCCTGTAGTCAGGGGAGCAGCAGCTGGGGAGAGCTGGGGTCTCAGCTGCCTTCCCCCATATCGCACATGCCCGTCTCGTGTGTATCTGCACTCTCACACGCGTGTTCCCCTGCCCTGCGCTCACATGTATCTGCACTCACTCTCACATGCTTGCTTCCCCTGCCCCATGCTCACGTGTACCTGCACTCTCACACGTGTGCTCCCCTACCCCACACTCACATGTATCCTCGCTCACTCTCACACGTGTTCCCCTGTCCTGTGCTCACATGTATCCACGCTCTCACACATGTGCTCCCCTGCCTTGTGCTCACGTGTATCTGCACTCTCACGTGTTCCCCTGCCCTGCCCTCACGTGTATCCTCACTCACTCTCACACGCGTGCTCCCCTGCACTCTCCTGTCTGAGCTGAGCTGACCTCAGTTGGGTGCTGCGAGCCAGGGCCTCATGCTGGCCTCTCGCCCTCCACAGCCCCAGGGGTCCAGGCTCCTCCAGGAACAAACGCAGGCCCCACGGGCTGCCTGGAAGGCCTCCCAGAAGGCAGCACAGGGTCACGAGGGTCACCCGCAGGGGCACAGGGAGGCCTCGTCACGACAGGATTCCAGCCAGGCTGGCCTGATGCTACTGGGGGTCCTCGGCACATGCCCCTTCACCCTGGCATGTGCTTCTTTTCCGGGAACCCACACTCTGGCTGAGTGGAGCCATCCCCTCTGGGTCAACAGCACCCGGGGTGGCTCTGCAGCACCCCACTCCGCGGCTGCACAGGGACCTTGGCCCCACTGCTCCTTGTGCCTTGCTGGTTAATGAGAAGCCGGTGGGGAGGTGCTGCCGGTGAGCGTATAAAGGCCCTGGCGGCGGCTGCGGAGCACTGGCCCTGTCCTTCCATCTGCCCAGAGAGGAGCATCTGGATCAAGGTGCTGGCCATGTCCCAGCTGGTGGAATGCGTCCCCAACTTTTCGGAGGGGAAGAACCAGGAGGTGAGGCCCGAGGAGCTGGTCAAGCATCTAGGGCTGATGGGGCAGCTTGAGTGGCTAAGGCCCAGGCCATGGAGGAGGTGGTGGGCTTGGTGTCCCGGGTCGTCTTCCCAGGATGGGCAGAGCCGCTGCCCGTGGGCCCCAAGGACATCCCGTGGCTCAGGGCCCTGGGGAGTGCCTGACCCAGGGGTGGGTGGAACACGACTGGTGCTTGTGGGGGCTGAGGCTTGGCTGTGGCTTCAGGGGCCTTTCGGGTGCTTTCGGTGGGGGGTTGGGCAGATCTCTGGGCCTCAAAGGGCCTTGGTGCTCCCCCCTGAAAATGGGGCTCCTGCCACTGACTGAAAGGGCTGTGTGAGGTCACACGAGGTGGCCCAGCATGGTCCCCACTGCCGCCTCTCCATCTCCACTGGAGTTAGCTTGCTGAGCCCCCACCCTGCAGCCACCATCCTCACTGGACCCAAAACGAAGTAGGCACAGAGGGGGCAGCAGGCCCCCAGGTCCGGCCTCTCGCCTTCCACAGCCCTGAGGTCCAGGCTCCTCCGGGAACAAATGCAGGCCCTAAGGGCCACCTGGAAGGCCTCCCAGAGGGCAGCACCAGGCCACAGGGGTCACCCGCAGGGGTGCAGGGAGGCCTCGTCATGCCGGGATTCCAGCCAGCACCAAGGCCCTGGGACAGGGCAAGATTTGGGGCTGAGCCCCTGCTCCCAGCAGTCCTGCCACCCGGAAGGTTCTAGGCCCTTCAGGCCCCTCCCCCATGCTGGTGATCTGTCCCTCCCCTGCTCGGGGGTGGGGGTCCCGGCCCCTCTGTGACCTGCGCCTGTGGTCACCTTCTTGGATCCCCGGCCACGTCTCTGGCATCTGTCTGTCGGAGCAGAGCCCGTGAGTCTCTCCTGGAGGCACCACCTGCAGCCCCTTGTGGGGACTGTGCTTGGGCTGGAGTGACTGTGGCTGCTGTGAGGGTTCCCGGGCGGCCGCTGTGTGCGGGCACTTTCGGTGGGAGCTCAGCTTGTCGGAGAGCCCCCAAAGGCTTGGCCCGCCTCCTCAGCCCCCATTTGTGTCTCGGGGTGCAGCCACCTCCAAGCTCCTTTTCCTTCTTTCAAACGGGGAGACTGAGGTGTGGGGGCCGGGCCTGTGTCCCAGGTGATCGACGCCATCTCTGGAGCCATCACACAGACCCCGGGCTGCGTGCTGCTGGATGTGGACGCAGGCCCTTCCACCAACCGCACCGTGTACACCTTCGTGGGGCCGCCGGAGTGCGTGGTGGAGGGGGCCCTCAACGCTGCCCGGGTAGCTTCCCGACTTATCGACATGAGCAGGCACCAAGGTGAGGTCTCTGGGCTCTCCTGTGGCTGCCGTGTCTCAGAATGTCAGGGCCGAGCCCTGTCCTGGTGTCCTGGGAGAGGGGGTAGGCCCGGGGCCCAGGCTTGGAACGTGGGGTCCAGTGGGGCTGGCTCTGGCTCTCCTAGGAGGACCCTGGAGTGTGGGGGTCATGGCCCCCATCCTGCCTGCAGGGCTGTGCTCTGGGGGACCCCCAGGTCGCCACGCTCCCACAGCACCGGGCCACCTTCACGGCTGGGTGGGGGGAGGGGGCCACGCCGGGGAAGGTTTGTGGGCCCCGTCCACCTGCCCACTCGTCAAGGGGGCTGAGAGCCAGTCTTGGAGCAGGCACTGGTGGGGGAAGGGCTGCCTGGAAGCTGACCTGTCAACAGCCCACAAGCCAAACACCTCGGTGGGCAGGCAGGGCCAAAGGTGTGTGGACACACGGGCGCTGGCCAGGGGCTGGGCTGTGGGCCGCTCATGAGAGGCCAGGGATCCACAGTGATCCTGAGGGGTGGATGGATGAGAAGCTTATCTCTAAGTGGCCAGCCCTGGGCGGTGGCGGCAAAGGCGGGGGAGGCTGGCGTCCCCTGGGGTGGGCGCCGACCCACGGCTTGGTGTAGCCACAGCGAGGGACTCAGCTAGTGAGAAGAATGCTCTGGAAACGCAGAGTGGATTCTCGGCTTCAGGGGAGGGGGTTGGGGTGGCCGGAACCCAGCCTCGAGCGCCCCCTCTTGGCCTGGCCGGGGCTGCCTGAGAGCTGAGCTTTGCACCCCTTTCAAAGTTATTTTTGTGAGTGTTAGGAGAGGGACAGGTTTATCCCAGAGATGCCAGACCACCCGCTCAGGTGCTGCTGCTCCTGGGCTGAAGGACCTCCCCCACACTGGCTGGGAGGACGGTGCGGGAACTTCCGTTGTCCCGGGAGGGCTGGTGCTGCCGCTGGGGCAGGGCTGGGAGCGCCCAGGGCCGGCCTCCTCCCTGTGGGTCAGTGTGAGCAGCTTGCTGGGTGTGTGGACTGGGGGCTGCCCAGGCCGGAGAGGACAGAGGGTCCGAGAACCCCGTGGAGCTCCCACCCGCTCCCACACCTGGCCTCCTGCCCGGCCTCGCCGTCTCTCTGCAGGAGAGCACCCCCGCATGGGGGCCCTAGACGTCTGCCCCTTCATCCCCGTGAGGGGCGTCAGCGTGGATGAGTGTGTGCTCTGCGCCCAGGCCTTTGGCCAGAGGCTGGCAGAGGAGCTGGACGTGCCAGGTGAGCGTGCCCCCCCGCCCCCCTCACTCTGCTCCCGTCTCATTGGTGTGGGTTATTGGCTCCTTCTGTATCCCCCAGTTCCCTGCCCTTGACTGCTCTTGCAAGGGCAGAGTGTTCCAAAAAGCCAACATGCAGAAGCGCAGCTCCCTCAATACCGAAATAAACGCAGCCTCGCCTGCGGCCGTGCAGGCCCGGGGCCTCCTCAGACTACACCGCAGAGCAGCTGCACAGGCAAACCAAGAGCCTTAAAGTCCACGCCTTCTAGAGCAGAATAATTTCACTTTGGGAAATTAACTAAATCAAGAAAATGATATGAAACAAACAGAGACAAACGGGACAAAGTGCATACCCACCCCTAGGCTGCACCAACCCAGCGCTCCTGGAAAGAAATCCCGAGGCAGGGACGTAGGTCACAGTCACGCCAGCGTGCAGGGCACACGTAACCCCCGTCACGGTCACGCCGGCATGCAGGGCACACGTAACCCCCGTCACGGTCATGCCAGTCCCCCCGAAGGAAATCCCGACGCAGGGCCCACGTCACAGTCACACTGGTGTGCGGGTTCACGAGTTTTTCCTCTTCTCTGCCGTTATATTTATGTGGTTGCTTGCGGTTCTGTTTATCATACAAAGAAAACAGAAGCATGAACGTCCTGCCGTTAGCATGTCCCACATGTTCCATCCTAACCCTGCAATTCGCCTTTTCAGGGCCCTCTGAGGAGGGGGTGGGCAGGGGTGCTGGCCCACACTGAGGGTCCACTGGGACCACCCGCATCCATCCAAGGCGGAGAACGGGCACTCCCCAGGAGAGGGTGCAGTAGAGGCCCATTCCTGGGTTAGGCTGGAGGGAGCCCCTCCACCTGCGTCCTCCAGGAACTGAGTCCTGGACCCCCTGCCGGTCCAGGCCTGACCGCCGGGCTCTCCTGCAGTTTACCTGTACGGCGAGGCAGCCAGGATGGACAGTCGCCGGACCCTGCCGGCCATCCGGGCCGGGGAGTACGAGGCCCTCCCTAAGAAGGTGCCCCCACCCCGGGCGGTCGGGCCTGGGAAGGAGGTGGACCTGCCCCTTTGTCCTGGCTGGGGTGGCTGGGCCGGGCCCCTCCTTCCCGGGACCCCGGGGGGCTGTTCCCTCCCGTGGGGGATGTCTCACCCCAGAGCGAACTTGCTCACAGCTCCAGCAGGCCGACTGGGCGCCCGACTTTGGTCCCAGCTCCTTTGTCCCCAGTTGGGGGGCCACGGCCACGGGGGCGAGGAAGTTCCTCATTGCTTTTAACATCAACCTGCTCGGCACAAAGGAGCAAGCCCACCGCATCGCGCTCAACCTGCGGGAGCAGGGCCGCGGGAAGGACCAGGTGACCCCGTTCACTGACCCCATGGAGCCCCACCCAGCCCCTCGGGAAAGGGTTAGAGGCTGAGAGCCTCAGGCGGGGAGGTCGGTGGGGATGGGGCACCGGCCGGACAGGGTTCGGCCTCCCACCTGCAGACCGGCCCAGCCTCCGCGTCCACACCGTGCGGGGACCGCGCAGGTCGGCAGGTCAGGGGCGGAGTGAAGCTGGGGAGCTCTGGCCTCCTGGGGATTTTCCAGGGAACGAGGCAGGACTTCCCTTTGTTAACATGTGGCAGCATTTCCATACTGCTGGGAAACAGCGACTTCCGGAGTCCCAGGTGCCCTCAGGGGCCCCCCATATCCCTCCAGATGCCTTGGGAGCCCCGACACCCCTACAAACCTTCAGGTGCCCCCAGGCCTTTCCCTCCACGTCTGCACAGCAGTGGTCACCCGGTCTGAGCGTCACTCCGGGTATAGATACCCGGAGAAAGCGGGGGGGACCACCTGCCCATCTGTTCCCCACTCAGAGACCCCGGTCCCACAAACAGCCAAGGTCCTGGGACCCGGCTTCCCGACCTGCAGACTCAGCACAAAAGCACAGGGACCTCTAAGTCCTGCTTTAGGCCCCGGCCAAGGGCAGAGGTCAGAGTCCCCCCACGTGGACTCAGTCACCCCGACAAGTGCGGGGCTGAGGGGACTTGTCGGGAGCGGAGCAGATGGGATGGGAGAACGGCATGGGGGTGCCTGGGGCCCCACCCCTCAGCATTCCCCCAACATCTAGGACACAGCGTGGCTGGAAGGCAGGGCCTAGGCTGGGCGGGGGCCTGCCGGGGTGGGCCTCCGGTGTCTGACCCTTGGGGCCTCCGTTTCCCTGTGGCAAGCGAAGTTTCTCTGGCCCTCCCCGGCCAGCTCAGTGAGGGACGGAGGAGAACCACAGCACCCACCCAGGCACAGGCTCCTCCCCGTCCAGCTGGGGAATGCAAGTGCCAGGAGAGACTGGCAGGGCCAGGCAGGATGAGCTTCCTAGTCCAGGCTGGGGAACGCTCTTCCTTTGCAGCCAGGACGTCTGAAGAAAGTTCAGGGCATTGGCTGGTACCTGGATGAGAAGAACCTGGCTCAGGTGTCCACCAATCTTCTGGACTTTGAGGTCACGGCACTGCACACGGTCTACGAGGAGACCTGCCGAGAAGCACAGGTGAGCCCGGGAGCAGCCGCTGCTGCTGTGAGGGGCGAGCCGATCTGTCCCGTGGGCAGGGCGGGGGCCCCACATCCTCCAGCCAGGGCCATTCTCCAGCCAGCCCCCAGGGGGTGACGCTGCCTGTGCCTTGGCAGGAGCTGAGCCTCCCAGTGGTGGGCTCACAGCTGGTGGGCCTGGTGCCCCTGAAGGCTCTGCTGGATGCGGCCGCCTTCTACTGCGAGAAGGAGAACCTCTTCATCCTGGAGGAGGAGCAGCGGATCAGGCTGGTGGGCCGGGCTGCCGAGGAAGGGTCGGACAGGGGCGTGCAGGGAGGGTGGGGAGGCGGTGGCGGAGCTCACAGCCCTGGGGCGCAGCTTCCCTCCCCCTCCTCCCCCTTCATTTTATTGACTTGTGTTCAGAAGATGAGATTTCACTTTTTATTTTGGACACCTTATTGAGGTTTTTTTGTGACCTATGATATGCTCAGCTGTGCAAATTCCACGGAGAGGACACCCCACCCTTTCTGCTTGGTCTTGCCTCCTGGGCCGGCCATGCTCCCGTGGAGGGGCCTGTGCCTCCTCTCACCACCTCCATCGGGGCGTCCTGCACCCCTGGAACTGGCAGCTCATGGATGTGTGTGCCTTTAGCTATGGGACTTAGATCCCCATCCACGGAGCGGCTCCTTCAGAAAGTGATTCCTTTTGTCTTGTGGACACCTGGGCCTCAAGGCTTCTGGAGTCTGGGTTCCACCGGGGCCTCAGGTCCTGCTGGGGTGTGGCAGCGTCTGCAGAGCCGCTGTCCGCCTTGGTCTGTCCTTTCACTCGAGGTCACTGCAGAGCCGCTGTCCGCCTTGGTCTGTCCTTTCACTCAAGGTCACTTTGTTTTAGGTGTGTTTTTCGCAATAAGCACAATCCACTTAACTGGATTTTTTGGGGACGTTTTGTCTGTTTGTGTTTTTACTGATTTAGCTCTCGTGACTTGTGGATTCCGTCCTTGTTTAGTCTCGGGCATATTTTCTTCTATTAGATCGCTGACCCAGTTATTTAGTTCTCTAGCTGTAGGACCCCGTGATGCTGCAGCAGCTTTGATGTCTTCTCTGCCTCCGTCTTTACTTTCTCTTCCACTCCTTTCCTCTGGATTCACAGTGGTTTTCCAAAACCCAGCCTCAATCATTGGTGCGTTTGTGGCCTTGTCTGTTGTATTCTTGGCTGTTAACAAAATTTTTTGTGACTTTACATTTTGTATAATTTCTTACAGAGAAGATACAGGTGGCCCTCCACTCCTGCCTCCCACCCATATTTTCCAAGTGCTTGCATTTTGCCCCATTTATTTGTGTATAATCATATTATATTTTTTTCCGGACTATTTAAAAGTTGGGTTGAAGACATTGTACTCTTTTACCCCTAATTTATTAAGGCTGTGTTTCTTAAGAACAGGGACATTCTCTTACATAACCACAGTGTAATTATCAAAATCAGGAAATTCAACACTGATACAATCCTAGTATCTAATAATCCTCAGGCCATAATCAAATTGCTTCAGTGTCCCAGTGATTCCCATCATAGCGATTTCTCCTCCAATCCGTGATCCAGTTCACGTAACACAGAGCACTGAGCCAACCTTTTCTCCTTTCTTCCAACTGTTCCTGTCTTCCTTGTCCTTCATTGACCTTGACATAGTTTCAAAGGACAGACTTTTAAAAGCGCCTCAGTGGGGACTAGTCTGATGTTGCTTGTGGCCAGATGTAGTTGTGCATTTTTATTTTAATTTAATTTGTTACTTCTTTTGAGACAGGGTCTTGCTCTGTCACCCAGGCTGGAGTGCAGTGGCACAATCACAGCTCACTGCAGCCCCAAACTCCAGGGCTCAGGTGATCTTCCCACCTCAGCCTCTCAAAGTGCTGGGATTACAGGCAAGGACCACTATGTAGTCCTGGCTAATTTTGTACAGATGGGGTTTTGCTCTATTGCCCAGGCTGGTCTCAAACTCCTGGACTCAAGCAATCCACTCACGTCAGCCTCCTAAAAGTGTTGGGACGACAGGTGTGCACCAACACGCCCAGCCAGTTACGCATTTTTGGCAGGAAAAGCATAGATGGTATTGTGTCCTCCTCAGAGACGCCGACTCCCCATGATGCTCATTTTCTCAGGGTGCCGACGTGGACCCGTCACTTGCCAAGGCGACCCCCTTCCTCCTGGACCCTTCACTGCAATGTTACTATTTTTCCTTTTGCAATTAATACGTTGTGGGGAGTACTTGAAGGTGTTTAAAGTATTGAGTAGGTAAATACCTGTTTATTACTGAAATTCCAGAGTTTTAGGAGCCAGTGACAGCATTCCAACGTCATCCTTTCTGTCTAAGCAGCAGCTGTCGCTTCTCCACATTTCCTTGTCTTCTTATGTGTGAGGCCCCGTCTGCTTTCCAGTGTGGCGTTTTGTCTTCTTCTTTTTTTTTTTTTTTTTTGAGATGGAGCCTCACTTTGTCACCCAGGCCGGAGTGCAGTGGTGTGATCTCGGCTCACTGCAACCTCCACCTCCCGGATTGAAGCAGTTCTCTGCCTCAGCCTCTCGAGTAGCTGGGATTACAGGCGTGTGCCACCGCACTTGGCTAATTTTTGTATTTTTTTTTTTTAGTAGAGACGGGGTTTCACCATCTTGGCCAGGCTGGTCTTGAACTCCTGACCTCGTGATCCGTCCGCCTCAGCCTCCCAAAGCACTGGGATTACAGGCGTGAGCCACCGTGACTGGCTGGGGTTTTGTCTTCTTTACCTGAAGGGCCCCATGCCTGCGGCCTGCACAGGTCTGGCTGTGCCCGTGGCTGCGTGCTGCCTCCTTGTGGTGAGGCTGCTTTGCTTTGTGTTGTGTGATTTTTGATTGCCAGTGCATGCTCTGTGGAATTTTATCTATGGTAATTCTTGGACACCTGGGTTCAAAGTTTTCTCCTCCAAGGAGGGTTTGTGCTGGCGCTTGTGGACACTGCCTCACAGGACCCCCTGAAGCTGAGTTTTTGGCTTGGAGTTCTGGAACCACACAAGAGTGAATTCGGTGTCGGGTGAGGCCTGCAGCCCTGTCAGGGTGGCTTGTGATTAGGAATTCCCAGGAGATTTTTTTTTTTTTCCTGCTTCACCCAAAGGGAAGGCAGGGACTGGGAAGTACCTCAACTGTTTCCTCTGGCGGGTGGCTGTTTCTAATTCATCCTTGGGGGTGTCACCTTCCAGGGGTCTCCAGTCGGACCCCACTCTGAAGGCCCCAGACCTCCCCCACTCATCAGGGGCTGCCAGAGAGGGGCAGTTGCCCCCAGGGCAGACCCAGCTCCAGGCTGGCAGGCCTTTCCGGACTCGTCTTTCTGGTCGTGTCTGGTTTCGAATGATGTCCTGTCTGCTAGCTTAGCCAGGCCTTTAAAATGCCCGGCATCTTCCTGGGGTTTTCTGCGGAAGGAGGCTTTGCCTTGTGGCTTGCTGGTTCTATGCCACGGGGAGGCACTCTCCACCCCGCCCGGCTGCTGTCCGTCTCTGTGGGGTGGGGTGGGGGTCGCATAGCCAACGTGTTCTGAATGGGTTTCCCAGAATGAATTCTAATCTTAAATGGGACTGTCACAACTTTATTTTGAATTTAGGTAAAACTCACTTTTGTGGCATACAAGTTTATGTGTGGGTGACTTGGGGCTGTTCCTCAGCTTTTGAGGACTTGTTAGATGTGAAGACTTGGTGAATTAAAATCTTTCCCGCCCGTCAGCGATGGGGCAGTGGTGCTGGGGGGCGGCGAAGCATGAGCAGCAGTTTGCTGAGGGGTCCCCAGGGGGCAACTCCTTTCTCTGGGCCTCAGGTTCCCCAAGGGCAACTCAGGGTGATGGCTGTTTCCAGAAGCCTGTACGGGGTGCCTGCTGGGGCGGGGCCCACAGGGCTCCTGGCGGGGCAGAGGTGGGGGGTGCCAGCCACGCCCCTGCCCTGCTCCCCGCAAAAGCACCTGTGTGCTCGGGGCAGGGGGCGGCTGCCGCAAGGGTGGGACCCGCGGGTTCCGAGGCTTTCCTGGTGGTGGAGACGCGCCGAGGCCGTTTCCACTCCAAGCCCCTTTTCCAGGTGGTGAGCCGGCTGGGCCTGGACTCCCTGTGCCCCTTCAGCCCTAAGGAGCGGATCATCGAGTGAGCCTCTGCCCTCCCGCCCTCTTCTCACCCCTCCCGGGCTCTGCCTCTCGGGCCTTGCGGGGCGCTGGGGTCCCTGCGTGGAGACCCGGCTGAGTCCTCCCAGCGCCTCCCTTTGGGCGCCTACTCGGCCTGCGCCAAGCCGGGGTCTGGGGGCTGAGGGGGGCACAGAGACCCCGGCCGGGTCCCCGCAGGTTCTCAGCCGAGTGGTCACCTCCCCGTGGGTGCAGACGGGCGTGGGGCCTGGGGCCGCCCCGGGAGGACTGCGCTCCCCCCACCAACCCCGGCCAGACCCGCTGAGCCGCGCCCACCCTGCAGGTACCTGGTCCCTGAGCGCGGGCCTGAGCGAGGCCTGGGCAGCAAGTCCCTGCGCGCCTTCGTGGGGGAGGTGGGTGCCCGCTCTGCGGCCCCCGGGGGCGGCTCGGTGGCGGCGGCCGCTGCGGCCATGGTGAGCGCGGGGGGAGGGGCAGGGGAGGCGCAGTTGTTGGGGGGAGGGCGGGGAGGGGGAAGGGCGCTGTTGGGGGGAGGGCACGGGGTGGGGAGGGCGCGGTGGGGCCGCCCTGGGTGGAGACGTGGGGGCCACACGGGTGGGACCCCCGCAGGGATCACCCGGGCCCCTGGCTCTTCCTGGGGTCGGTCCCGGGCCGTCTGGGGTCCCTGCGACCCCCACATCCACCCCTCTCGCAGGGTGCGGCGCTGGGCTCCATGGTGGGCCTCATGACCTACGGGCGGCGCCAATTCCAGTCCCTGGACACGACGATGCGGCGCCTGATCCCGCCCTTCCGCGAGGCTTCGGCCAAGCTAACCACGCTGGTGGATGCCGACGCCGAGGCCTTCACCGCCTACCTGGTGAGTGGCGGCCACAGCAGGGCTCCCCGGGCCCCACCAACAGCGAACCCCCAGCTGGGGCCCCAGTGAGAAGCGGGTCAGCCTCCGGCTGGGGAGGGGCTGGGGACCAGGAGGGGCCTGAGGGCGTCACCACTGGCCGCTGTCTGGACCTTGACCACCAGCACCGCCCTCACCCCGGCAAGTGCTTGGGCCCAGCAGGGTTTGAGGGTTCGGCCAGGGTGACCCCACATTCACAGGCCATGGCAGCCGGTACAAGGGAACAGGCCCCTCCCAGCAGGGGAGCCAGGAGCCCAGGCTTGGGGGACCCCACAGACCTGGAGCAAGGCAGGGCCCTTCTTTAGAAGCCTGCAATTCCAGGAAAGGAGGCCTGCAAGAATCTCAGGAACACAGTGATGAGTGCTCTCAGGCAGGCCAGAGACGACCCGTTTCAGCCACAGCATAAGACAGAAACACCATCTTCAGATAACACCCACTCAGGCAGGCAGTGACCCCACCTCCCTCCAAACGGGACAGGAACATGAGCATCAGCTGGCAGGATGTGCCCACAGATGGGTGCTGGGTGCTCAGAGCCTAGGGCAGGGGCCAGAGAGCCTGGGAAAGGGCAGTGACAAGGTCAGGATGCTCCCAAGCAGTTCCAGCCCAGGAGAGGACAGGAGGGAAGGGCAGAAAAGAGAGAGAGAGGGAGGGGAGAGAGAAGAGAGGGAGAGTGGGGAGAGAGGCAGATGGCGGAGAGAGAGAGGGAGGGAGGGATGGGGAGGGAGGGAGGGGGAGGAGAGGGAGAGGGGGAGAGAGGGAGGGGGAGAGACAGAGAGAGAGGGAGAGGGAGGGAGAGAGGGAGGGAGACAGAGGGAGGAGGGGGGAGAGAGGGAGGGGGAAAAGGGGAGAGAGGGAGAGGGGGAGAGAGGGAGGGAGAGGGGAGGAGGGAAAGGGGAGGGAGAGGGGGAGAGGGGGGAGAGAGGGGAGAGAGGGAGAGGGGGAAAGAGGGGAGGGAGGGAGGGGGGAGAGAGGTAGGTGGAGAGAGAGGGAGGGAGAGAGAGGGAGAGAGGGGAGAGAGGTGTAGGGGCCAGCCCTACAGGGTCTGTGGGTTTTTCTCCCCGTGTGTAGAGATGAGAGATTATAGAAATAAAGACACAAGACAAAGAGAAGAAAAGACAGCTGGGCCCGGGGGACCACTACCACTAAGACACGGAGACCGGTAGTGGCCCTGAATGCCTGGCTGCGCTGTTATTTATTGGATACAAAGCAAAAGAGGCAGGGTAAAGAGTGTGAGTCATCTTTAATGATTGATAAGGTCACGTGAGTCACATGTCCACCGCACAGGGGCCCCTTCCCTGTTAGGTAGCTGAGGCAGAGAGAGAGAGGACAGCTCACATCATTTTTTTTAATCCTCTTTTTAGAAAGATTAAAGACTAATACTTTTACTAAGTTTGCTACTGTTATCTAGAGGGCGGAGCCAGGTGTACAGAGTGGAACATAAAAGTGAAACAGGAGCATGAGCTCTAAAGCACAGCATCACAGGGAGACGATTAGGCCTCGGGATAACTGCGGGTGGGCCCTTTACAAGAGGTGGTGGACCAGAGTCTTCTTCAAACTCCCCTGGAGAAAGGGAGACTGCCTTTTCCGATCTGCTAAGTAGCGGATGCTTTTCTTTGGCACTGACACTACCATAGACCATGCTCCGCTTGGTAACGGGCGCCTTCCCAGACGCTGGCCTTACCGCTAGACCAAGGAGCCCTCTAGTGGCCCTGCCCAGGCCTGACAAAGAGCTCACACTCGTTTTTTGGTCACTTTTTAGCGTGCCCCTTCAACTCCTATCTGTGTATGGCCTGGTTTTTCCTAGGTTATGATTGCAGAGCAAAGATTATTATAATGTTAAAGAGTAATTGCTACAAACTAATGATTAATAATTATATATAATCATATCTATGATCTATATCTAGTACAACTCTTGTTATTTTATATATTTTATTGTACTAAAACAGCTCGTGCCCTCGGTCTCTTGCCTGGGCACCTGGCTGGCTTGCCGCCCACAAGAGGGAGATGGGGAGGGGGGGTAGGGAGAGAGGGAGGGGAGTGGGGAGAGAGGGAGGTGGGGAGAGAGACAGGGAGGGACAGAGTGGGAGGGAGGGAGAGAGAAACATGTGCCCCAGCCTCTGGAGCAGGGCGGTGGGGGCGCCTGTGTTTCTGGGAGGGCCACAAGACCCCCAGCCCTAAGTTGGGAAGTCTACCTTACAAGGCTGGGTGAGAAAGGCAGGCCCCAAATGCACGTGGAATCCACACACAGGCACAGAGGGAGCCAAGATGAGGGCCTCGGATAAACAGTCCCGGATTTGCAGAGGGAGTCGCCTGAGGGTCCCGTTCTGGTCCTGTGGAGAGGTGAAGCTGGCTGGGCTTCTGGGTCTGGTGGGGACTTGGAGAACTTTTCTGTCTAGCTAAAGGTTTGTAAACACACCAGTCAGCACTGTGTCTAGCTACTGGGGTGGGAACTTGGAGAACTTCTCTGTCTAGCTAAAGTATTGTAAAAACGCACCAGTCAGTGCTCTGTGTCTAGCTAAAGGTTTGTAAACGCACCAATCAGCACTCTTTAAAAACGGACCAATCAGCACTCTGTAAAATGGACCAATCAGCACTCTGTAAAGTGGACCAATCAGCAGGATGTGGGCGGGGCCAAATAAGGGCATAAAAGCTGGCCACCGAAACCAGCAAGCGCCAACCGTGGCGGGTTCTGTTCCAAGCTGTGGGGGCTTTGTTCTTTTGCTCTTCGAACTAAATCTTGCTGCTGCTTACTCTTTGGGCCTTCGCTACCTTTACGACCTGTAACACTCACTGCCAAGGTGTGTAGCTTCACTCCTCAAGTCAGCGAGACCACCAACCCACCGGGAGGAGCTAACAGCTGTGCTACGCGCCACCTGTAAGAGCTGTAACACTCGCTGCGAAGGTCGGCGGCCTCACGGGGAGGAAGAAACAGCTCCCGACGCGCCACCTGTAAGAGCTTAACGCTCACTGTGAAGGTCGGCGGCCTCACGGGGAGGAAGAAACAGCTCCCGACGCGCCACCTGTAAGAGCTTATGGCTCACTGTGAAGGTCTGCGGCCTCACCGGGAGGAAGAAACAGCTCCCGACGCGCCACCTGTAAGAGCTCACTGAGAAGGTCTCCGGCTTCACTCCTGAAGTCAGGCAAGACCACGAACCCGCCAGAAGGAAGAAACTCCGGACGTATCTGAACATCAGAAGGAACCAATTCCGGACACACTGTTTGCAGGGAGGTGTAGACGCTGATCACCGTTTCCAGTCATTTTAAAAATTCAGGTTTTATTTATTTACTTTTTACAGTAGATAGGCCCTTCGGGGGTTCACCCCGCCTTCGCCACAGCCCGCCCAGTGCTCGCCTCTCTTGCTGCCTCAGAGCTCCGCCTTTCCTTCCCCTCGCACACAGCCCCGCCCGCTCCCAGCCTGGCCCCTTGGGTTTTCCACTGGGGGAAGCACCCCCCTCCCCGGGGGGGCCCAGGGCACCCAACACCTGCTTGCAGAACCCTGCTTTCTGGGATGCGCTTCTCATTACCGGGCAGGTTAAGCATGTTCCGTACATTTAGCAGTGGTTTTTACTTCTTTTCCAGGAAGTTATCTGGTGAATATTTTTTGACTCCTTTTATCTTAGTTTCTCTTGGGGCTTTCGCTGCCTTCTAGTATTTTTTTTTTTTAATAGGGGAGGCAGGCCTTGTTCTGGGCTCAGCTTTCCCCGTTTGTTGTTCGTCTTTGGACTTTGCGTGTGGGGCTTCTGACAATGACTCTTAATCTTTATGTCGTGGAATGTGTCAATCCTGACTTTATATTTTTTGGGTCTTGTATCACAGTTCAAATGGCCTCCCCAGAACAAGATGATCTTTTCTATACTTTAATGGGTTGATGAACTTTAGACCCGGACAGGCATTTGAAGACAGTCATGAATTTAAGTATAAATATTAGAAATAGGCCAGGCATGATAGCTCACACCTGTAATCCTAGCATTTTGGAAAACCAAGGTGGGCAAATCCCTTGAGCTCAGGTGTTTGAAACCAGCCTAGACCACACACCAAGACCCTGTATTTACCCACCCAAAAAGAAAAAAAAAAAATAAAGCCAGGCGTGGTAGCAGGTACCTGTGGTCCCAGCTACTCAGGAGGCTTAAGTGGGGGTAGCTTGAGGCCAGGAGTTTGAGGCTGCAGTGAGTCGTGATTGCACCACTGCACTCTAGCCTGGGCAACAGAACGACACCCTGTCTCTAATGTAAACATATGTATATAAAACATAGGAACAATTTTATGTTTAGAAATTTAAAATAAGGTGAATAATTAAAAAACAAGTAGGAAAAGTACATAGATGAAAATGTAATCAAGGGACAGGAAGGAAACAAGACGTGTGGTTTAGAGAACCATGAGCGGGGACAGTGAGACTGTGCTAGGCATCAGTGGTCGAAATCAGTGGATTGGTTTACGC